>NC_000022.11:12488690-12641730 GCF_000001405.40 Homo sapiens | reverse complement strand
GAATTCTCTCTTCCTCTACCCTTGTGTTTTATTTGGGTTTTAATGGATTGGATGAGGCCCACTCACACTGGGGAGGGAAACTACTTTACTAAGTCTACATATTCAAATGTTCGTCTCATCAAGGAACACCCTCACAGACACATCCAGAGTGTTTAACCAAATATCTAGGCAACCCAACTTGGAAAATAAAATTAACCATCATAAGGCAAAAGAGGTATACGATCTGAAGAGAAACCAGGGATGCAGGATGGTTAAACATCTGCAAGTCAATAAATGTGATACACCATATAAACAGAATTAAAAACAAAAATCACATGATCCTCTCAATACATGCAGAAAAAGGATTTGACAAAATCTATCATCCCTTTATGCCTAAAACCTTCAGCAAAATTGACATAGAAAAAGCATTTGACAAAATCCAGAATCCCTTTATGATTAAAACCCTTAGCAAAATCAACATAGAAGGGACATACCTTAAGGTAATAAAAGCCATATATGACAAACACACAGCCAACATTATATGGAATGGGGAAAAGTTGAAAGCATTCCCCCTGAGAACTGGAACAAGACAATGATGTCAACTTTCACCACTTCTATTCAACATAGTACTAGAAGTCCTCGCCAGAGCAATCAGATAAGAGAAATAAAGGGCATCCCAATCGGTAAAGAGGAAGTCGAACTGTCACTCTTTGCTGATGACATGATCGTATACCTAGAAAACCCTAAAGACTCATCCCAAAAGCTACTAGAACTGGTGAATTCAGCAAAGTTTCAGGATAAAAAATTAACGTACACAAGTCAGTGGCTCTGCTATACAGTAATAGTGAACAAGCTGAGAATTAAATAAAAACTCACCCCCTTTTACAATAGTTGCAATAAAAACCTTAGGAATATTATAATTCCTATAATTATAATACTATATTCCTATAATTGTCAATTGCATGCAATCTTTGCAGACAAAATCTTAATTATATCTGGAATACTTAACCAAAGAGACAAAAGACCTCTACAAGGAAAACTACAAAACACTGCTGATAGAAATCATAGATATGAAGAAATGGAAACATATCCCATGCTCACGGATGGGTAAAATCAATATTGTGAAAATACCATACTGCCAAAAGCAATGTACAAACTCAATGCAATCCCCATTAAAGTACCAACATCAGTCTTCACAGAACTACAAAAATTCACACGGAACTAAAAAAGACATAGAAGGGAAATACATTAAGGTAGTAAAAGCCTAGAACCAAAAAAGAGTCTGTATAGCCAAAGCAAGACTAAGCAAAAATAACAAATCTAGAAGCCGACTTCAAACTATACTAGAAGGCCATAGTCACCAAAACAGCATGGTACTGGTATAAAAATAGCCATAAAGATCAATGGAACATAATAGAGAACACAGAAATAAAGCCAAATACTTACAGTCATCTAATCTTCAACAAAACAAACAAAAACATAAAGCAGAGAAAGAATACCCTATTCAACAAATGGTGCTGAAATGGCAAGCCACACATAGAAGAATGAAAGTGGATGCTCATTTCTCACCCTATTCGAAAATCAACTCAAGATGGATCAAGGACTTAAATCTAATACGTGAAACCATAAAAATTCTAGAAGACGACATTGGAAAAAACCTTCTAGACACTGGCTTAGGCAAAGACTTCATGACCAATAACCCAAAAAGCAAATGCAACTAAAACAAAGATAAATAGATGAGACTTAATTAAACTAAAAGGCTTCTGCGCAGTAAGAGAAATAGCAGAGTAAACAGATAACCTACAGAGTGGGAGAAAATCTTCGCAATCTGTACCTCTGATTAAAGAACTAACACCCAGAATCTGCAAGGAACTCAAACAAACCAGGAAGAAAAACATCCCATCAAAAAGTGGGCTATGGACATGAACAGACAATTCTCAAAAGAAGATAAACAACTGGCCAACAAACATGAAAAAATGCTCAGCATAACTAATTATCAGGGAAATGCAAATCAAAACCACAATACAATATGATACCCCTTCACTCCTGTAAGAATGGTCATAATCAAAAAATCAAAAACTAATAGATGTTGCCATGGATGTGTTAAAAAGGGAACACTTTTACACTTTTTGGAGGGAATGTGAACTAGTACAACAGCTATGGAAAACAGTGAGGAGATTTCCAAAGAAGTAAAAGCAGATCTATCATTTGATCCAGTAATTCCACTCCTGGGTATCTACTCAGAGGAAAATAAGTCATTATATGAAAAAGATACTTTCACACACATGTTTATAGCAGCACAATATGCAGTTAGAAGAATTTGAAACCGCCTAAATGCCCATCAATCAGTAAGTGGATAAAGAAAATGTGGTATAAATATTTACCACATGGAATACTACTCAGCCGTAAGATGGAATGAAATAATGCATTCACAGCAACCTGGATGAAACTGGACACCATTATTCTAAGTGAAGCAACTTAGGAATGGAAAACCAAACATTGTATGTTCTCATTCATAAGTGAGAGCTAAGCTATGAGGATGCAAAGGCATAAGAATGAAATAATGGTCTTCGGGGACTCAGAGAAAGGCTGGGAGTGGTGGGGTGAGTGCAGTGAGGGATAAAACACTACACAATGGGTACAGTGTACACTGCTTGGGTGATGGGTGCACCACAAATCTCAGAAATCGCCACTGAACAACTTAGTCCTGTAACCAAAAACCACCTGTTTCCCCAAAACCTATTGAAATAAAAAGAAAACCATCATATTCCCCAAAAACCTATTGAAATAAAAAAAAATTAACCACAATATTAGGCATTGGGTACGAGGGCCTGAATGGATGGGAGCACTGCAGTCACATTACAGTAATCCACTGTGAAACATCATTTATTATTTGCAGGTTTAAGAACAGGCCAAATTCTACTGCTAAACATTGAAGCAATGAGGATTATCACCCCTTCACTAATTAATTAGGTCTTATATAATAAGTTTTATTTATTTGAAGTCATGTTGTAATTTATGTTGGATCATATTTGATAATTTATCAAGATGGGGAGGCTAGGTGCGATGGCTCACACCTGTAATCCCAGCACTTTGGGAGTCCGAGGCAGGAGGATTGCTTGAGGCCAGAAGTTAGAGACCAGCCTAGGCAACATAGCAAGACTCCACTTCTATAATTTTTTAAATTGGCTGTGCTGGTACATGCCTGTAATCCCAGCTATTTGGAAGGCTAAAATGGGAGGATTGCTTGAGCCCAGGAGTTCAAGGCAGCAGTGAGCTATGATTGTGCCACCGCACTTCATTCAGCCTGGGTAATGGAGCAAGACCCCATCTCTAAAAAAAAATGAAAAATTAAAAATAAATCAAATTAAAAAAAAACAGGAGAGAGAGTTCTGTAAGGTTACATTTGGTGAAGTCAATGTGTAAGTTCAAATGATTTAATATCAATTTGTTACTCATTGGGTCAGAGCATCTAGGTCCCCTATGGACAAAGGCTTCTATGACTACGGGAAATTTAGTCAAGGTAACAAATGTGAGGCATAACTATGTGTCCTCTATTCTATATGCAGTTACTCTGCTAGGATTAGGGGATGCAATGTTTAAATTTAGTGAAATCTCAGGTATAACAAAGTTTGAGCTCCAGTATTGATTAAGTTTGTGAAGGTATGCCAATTGGTAGATTTCAACAGATGTTAAAATTGATTAGAATATATGCTGGAGAGTTACAAATACCAAACAGCACCCTTTTACTTTTGGACTGTATAAGTTATTTTAGAAAATAGTACATTTCCAATTAGGTCAGATGATAGAATTCTAATTTAAATTTTGTTTTTGTGCATATCCAACTTCCTTCCCTTCCTTCCTTCCTTCCCTCCTTCCTTCCTTCCATCTTTCCTTCCTTCCTTCCCTCTTTCCTTCCTTCATTCCTTCCCTCCTTCCTTCCCTCTTTCCTTTTCTTCCTTCCCTCCTTACTTCCCTCTCTCCTTCCTTCCTTCCCTCCCTCCCTCCTTCCTTCCCTCTCTCCTTCCTTTCCTTCCTTCCTGCCCTCCTTCTCTCTCTCCTTCCTTCATTCCTTCCTTCCCTCTCTCCTTCCTTCCATTCCTCCCTCCCTCCCTACTTCCTTCCTTCCCTCTTTTCTTCCCTCTCTCCTTCCTTCCCTCCTTTCTTCCCTCTCTCCTTCTTTCCCTCCTTCCTTTCTTCCCTCTCTCTCATTTTTTTGCCACTGGATATGGCGAAGGTTGTTCTCTTTCCCACTCATATTTATAATTTCTTTCTTTGAAACAGCCCCAAATCAGTATCTTCAGAGTTAAGGTCCTCCTTGTGAGCAGACTGTGTGGTTTAAGAACCCTAGACTTAAGTCGGGTTTGGATTTATCCCTTCTCTCTGCCTCAGGGGTACCACAGGTGTCTTTTCCTATAACCCTGGGAATTAGATCTTTTTTGTGGCAGAATCATAAGTCACAGAGCGATGCAGCACAACCAGCCCACAATTCAGGGGTCAGTGGATTGAAATCATCTTCTGCTACGGCTCCATCTGGTTCTTCCAGGACTTCCCTCCCCCTCTTTTTTTTCCTTTTGGGGTGTTGAAACTTTAGTGGTATATACATTGCCTCATAATCCGTAAAAACTCCCCTTATCCCACAGCATGGATTAAAGAGAACATTGCCAGGAGCCCTTCACTCTTCTAGAAGGACTTTATTTGATAGGTCCTTTTTCCATGGTTTAGAATAAAAGAGGTAACAACTAGAAATATCTCCCACATAATAGGCCCTACAACAAATTCTACTTTAAAGGCTGTTGTTCATGTCCTTAACTGTGGCTGCCCTTAATGTTTTTATCATCCACAGACAATTGTCTCATTTTGGTCCTCTTTAAATGATGGTTTTATAATCAGCTATAAAATTTAACAGATGCCCTTAAATGCAGGATTCTGATTAATAACGCTGGAGATTGTGACATTAGAATAGAGGGAAAACTTTCAAATAGAAGAGTGAATGATGTTTGGGCTACTTTGTACTGTATTTTTATAAATATGTTATTAATATGTGTTCCAAAATTATTGGAAACTTCTATAGAAATGTAATCCCCAGTGTCGGAGATGGGGCCTGCTGGGAGGTGGCTGGTCCATGGGAGCAGTTTCCAGTGGTTCCCAGTGTTGGAGACGGGGCCTGCTGGAAGGTGGCTGGTCCACAGGAGCAGCCTCAAGTGGTTCCCACTGTCGGAGATGGGGCCTGCTGTGAGGTGGCTGGTCCATGGGAGCAGTTTCTATTGGTTAAGCATAATCCCCCTAGCGCTGCTCTTGTGATAGAGTTCTCATGAGATCTTGTTGTTTAAAGTGTGTAGGACCTTCCCCCTCTCTCTTCCTCCTGCTCTTGCTTTCCCTTTCACCATGATTGTTAAGTGTGCTGAGGCCTCCCCAGAAGCTGAGCAGATGTCAGCATCATGCTTGCTGTACAGGCTGTGGAACTGTGAGCCAATTTTCAGTACTCTTGTTTTCTTTATATTTTTTAAAATTTTATTTTAAGTTCCAGGATAAATGTGCAGGACATGCAGGTTTGTTACGTAGGTAAACGTGCACTATGATGATTTGCTGTACCTATCAACCCACAGCCTAGGTGCCTAGGTATTAAGCCCCACATGCGTTAGCTCTTCCTGATGCTCTTCCTCCCCGTCCCCAATGACAGGCCCCAGTGTGTGTTGTTCCCCTCCCTGTGTCCAGGTGTTCTCATTATTCAGCTCCCACTTATGAGTGAGAACATGTGGTGTTTGGTCTTCTGTTCCTGTATTAGACTGCTGAAGATGATGGTTTCTAGATTCATTCATGTCCCTGCAAAAGACATGATCTCATTCCTTTTTATGGCTGCATAGTACTCCATGGCGTGTATGTACCACATTTTCTTTATCCAGTCTATCACTGATGGGCATTTGGATTGATTCCATGTTTTTGCTAATGGGAATAGTGCTGCTATAAACATATGTGTGCATGCATCTTTATAATAGAATGATTTATAGTCCTTTGGATATATACCCAGTAATGGGATTTCTGGGTCAAATGGTATTTCTGGTTCTAGATCCTTGCAGAATTGCCAAACTGTCTTCCACAATGATTGAACTAATTAACATTCCTACCAACAGTGTAAAAGTGTTTATTTCTCCACAGCCTTCCCAGCATCTGTTGTTTCTTGTTTTTTTTTTTTATTATACTTTAAAGTTTAGGGTACATGTGCACAATGTGCAGGTTTGTTACATATGTATACATGTGCCATGCTGGTGTCCTCCACCCATTAACTCGTCATTTAGCATTAGGTATATCACCTAATGCAATCCCTCCCCACTCCCCCACCCTAAAACAGTCCCCAGTGTGTGATGTTCCCCTTTCTGTGTCCATGTGTTCTCATTGTTCAATTCCCACCTATGAGTGAGAACATGTGGTGTTTGGTTTTTAGTCCTTGTGATAGTTTGCTGAGAATGATGGTTTCCAGTTTCATCCACGTCCCTACAAAGGACAAGAACTCTTCATTTTTTTCTCCTGCATAGAATTCCATGGTGTATATGTGCCACGTTTTCTTAATCCAGTCTATCATTGTTGGACATTTGGGTTGGTTCCAAGTCTTTCTATTGTGAATAGTGCCACAATAAACATACGTGTGCATGTGTCTTTATAGCAGCATGATTTATAGTCCTTTGGGTATATACCCAGTAGTGGGATGGCTGGGTCAAATGGTATTTCTAGTTCTAAATCCCTGACGAATCGCCACACTGACTTCCAAAATGGTTGAACACGTTTACAGTCCCACCAACAGTGTAAAAGTTTTCCTATTTCTCCACATCCTCTCCAGCACCTGTTGTTTCCTGATTTTTTAATGATCGCCATTTTAACTGGTGTAATATGATATCTCATTGTGGTTTTGATTTGCATTTCTCTGACGGCCAGTGACGGTGAGCATTTTTTCATGTGTTTTTTGGCTGCATAAATGTCTTCTTTTGAGAAGTGTCTGTTCATATCCTTTGCCCACTTTTTGATGGGGTTGTTTTTTTCTTGTAAATTTGTTTGAGTTCATTGTAGATTCTGGCTATTAGCCCTTTGTCAGATGAGTAGGTTGCAAAAATTTTCTCCCATTCTGCAGGTTGCCTGTTCACTCTGATGGTAGTTTCTTTTGCTTTGCAGAAGCTTTTTAGTTTAATTAGATCCCATTTGTCAATTTTGTCTTTTGTTGCCATTGCTTTTGGTGTTTTAGACATGAAGTCCTTGCCCATGCCTATGTCCTGAATGGTATTGCCTAGGTTTTCTTCTAGGGTTTTTATGGTTTTAGGTCTAACATGTAAGTCTTTAATCCATCTTGAATTAATTTTTGTATAAGGTGTAAGGAAGGGATCCAGTTTCAGCTTTCTACATATGGCTAGCCAGTTTTCCCAGCACCATTTATTAAATAGGGAATCCTTTCCCCATTTCTTGTTTTTGTCAGGTTTGTCAAAGATCAGATGGTTGTAGATATGTAGCATTTTTTCTGAGGGCTCTGTTCTGTTCCATTGATGTATATCTCTGTTTGGGTATCAGTACCATGCTGCTTCGGTTACTGTAGCCTTGTAGCATAGTTTGAAGTCAGGTAGCGTGATGCCTCCAGCTTTGTTCTTTTGGCTTAGGATTGACTTGGCAATGCGGCCTCTTTTTTGGTTCCATATGAACTTTAAAGTAGTTTTTTTCCATTTCTGTGAAGAAAGTCATTGGTATCTTGATGGGGATGGCATTGAATCTATAAATTACCTTGGGCGGTATGGCCATTTTCACGATATTGATTCTGCCTACCCATGAACATGGAATGTTCTTCCGTTTGTTTGTATCCTGTTTTATTTCAATGAGCAGTGGTTTGTAGTTCTCCTTGAAGAGGTCCTTCACATCCCTTGTAAGTTGGATTCCTAGGTATTTTATTCTTTGAAGCAATTTTGCATGGGAGTTCCCTCATGATTTGGCTCTCTGTTTCTTTGTTATTGGTGTATAAGAATGCTTGTGATTTTTGTACATTGATTTTGTATCCTGAGACTTTGCTGAAGTTGCTTATCAGCTTAAGGAGATTTTGGGCTGGGACAATGAGGTTTTCTAGATATACAATCATGTCATCTGCAAAGAAGGACAATTTGACTTCCTCTTTTCGTAATTGAATACCATTTATTTCCTTCTCCTGCCTGATTGCCCTGGCCAGAACTTCCAACACTATGTTGAATAGGAGTTGTGAGAGAGGGCATCCCAGGCTTGTGTCAGTTTTCAAAGGGAATGCTTCCAGTTTTTGTCTATTCAGTATGATATTGGCTGTGGGTTTGTCATAGATAGCTCTTATTATTATGAGATATGTCTCATCAATACCTAATTTATTGAGAGTTTTTAGCATGAAGTTTTGTTGAATTTTGCCAAAGGCCTTTTCTGCTTCTATTGAGATAATCATGAGGTTTTTTTCTTTGGTTCTGTTTCTATGCTGGATTACATTTATTGATTTGCATATGTTGAACCAGCCTTGCATCTCAGGGATGAAGCCCACTTGATCATGGTGGATAAGCTTTTTGATGTGCTGCTGGATTCGGTTTGCCAGTATTTTATTGAGGATTTTTGCATCAATGTTCATCAAGGATATTGGTCTAAAATTCTCTGTTTTGGTTGTATCTCTGCCACGCTTTGGTATCAGGATGATGCTGGCCTCATAAAATGAGTTAGGGAGGATTCCCTCTTTTTCTATTGATTGGAATAGTTTCAGAAGGAATGGTACCATCTCCTCCTTGTACCTCTGGTAGAATTCAGCTGTGAATTCATCTGGTCCTGGACTTTTTTTGGATGGTAAGCTATTGATTATTGCCACAATTTCAGAGCCTGTTATTGGTCTGTTCAGAGATTCAACTTCTTTCTGGTTTAGTCTTGGGAAAATGTATGTGTCAAGGAATTTATCCATTTCTTCTAGCTTTTCTAGTTTATTTGCGTAGAGGTGTTTTTAGTATTCTCTGACGGTAGTTTGCATTTCTGTGGGATCGGTGATGATATCCCCTTTATCATTTTTTATTGCACCTATTTGATTTTTCTCTCTTTTCTTATTAGTCTTGCTAGTGGTCTATCGATTTTGTTGATCTTTTCAAAAAACCAGCTCCTGGATTACTTAATTTTTTGAAGGGTTTTTTAGGTCTCTATTTCCTTCAGTTCTTCCCTGATTTCAGTTATTTCTTGCCTTCTGCTAGCTTTTGAATGTGTTTGCTCTTGCTTTTCTAGTTCTTTTAATTGTGATGTTAAGGTGTCAGTTTTGGATCTTTCTTGCTTTCTCTTGTGGGCATTCAGTGCTATAAATTTCCCTCTACACACTGCTTTGAACGTGTCCCAGTGATTCTGTTATGTTGTGTATTTATTTGTTTAAGGCAGAGTCTTGCTCTGTCGCCCAGGCTGGAGTACAGTGGCTCGATCTCAGTTCACTGCAACCTCCACCTCCCAGGTTCAAGCGATTCTCCTGCCTCAGCCTCCTGATTGGCTGGGATTACAGGCGCCTGCCCCCACACCTACCTAATTTTTGTATTTTTAGTAGAGATGAGGTTTCACCATGTTGGCCAGGCTTGTCTCAAACTCCTGGCCTCAAGTGATCCACCCACCTCAGCCTTCCAAAGTGCTGGGATTACAGGTGTGAGCCACCGTGCCCGGCCTGTTTCTTGTATTTGATGATGAAAATCTGCTATTGATAGTCACCCGGCCTGTTTCTTGTATTTTATGATGAAAATCTGTTATTGACAGTAAGAGCATGGGGGCTTAGGTTAACAACAGGGTGTGAGAAAAGCAGCAGTGAAATTTTGGTTCTCAAAACAATTGATGTCTTATTCCTTTTTTTGAACATGGGTATTGCTAAAAAAGGTCAGCCATTTTGAAACTTGATTTTATTGTCATGTTCTCATTTTGAAATTCATCTTATTGTTTGTCCGAATTGGCAACCGTATGTGGGAAATTTCAGTTTTGCATATTTTCAGATTATTTTCATTTTTACATCAGAGATTTTGAACAGATGCTATACAAAAGTATTCATTTATTTATTCAACAAAATTTAGTGCTGGTTATGTTGCAAGCACTTAGTGAACTTCATGCTGTACACGCCTCAGATACTTTTGTGAATGTAATGGCAACATCAAAAACTTTGCCCTTATGCACCTTATAAACCTTTAATTTCAAGGCATGTTGATAAGTGAGCATCTGCTATAACATTCTTTCATTGTCATTTAATTAACCATGATTTGGGTATACCTTATATTAAAGCTGATTATTAAAAACTGGAAAATATTTAACACATCTTTATCTTGCCTTTTTTCCTTAACATATGTAGATCAAGGGAGTCACTGAGAATCAATTTTAGGGATAGTTATAAAAATCTTAACTTTGCAACTATAACTTTGTCCTCAGTGTAATAACTGGAAAAAATAATTTACGTTTCAAAGGCTTTAATCTTTGTATTTTTTTGAAAAGGAGCCTTCACCGAGATTCTTTAAAAATTCTTGCTCTGTCCTACAGTAGAGAGTGATGGACTCATGGATATGGTCCTCTAATGGATCTGTACCACCTCAGTTCTCTGATTGTCGCCCTCCTGTGGTGAAAATTAAAGCTTATTTTCATTTCATGTCTAGGATGTAGTATGTTCTTGTTGGGAAAAAATAATGTTTCTTGAGAAATAAGTGCCTTCAGTATCACTGTGTGTCAGTTAATAAATATGACTAATATCTACTTTTACCAATGGCTGCAATTTGATCCTTAAACAGCCATCTTTAAATTATACTTTTTCTTTGGTTAAAGAAAAGTAATTATAATAGACATTAATTATTTTTACATAATTCTCTTATGTGGACACCCATTCTTAGAACTAAAACTTTCAGATGTTTATATTACAAGTACAATTATTATTTATTATTATTAATGTCAGTAGCCAAATGTAATCAACTCTCTTCCTTTTACTTCCTTTTTTGAATCAAAATGTTACACTTATACAAGCAAGAGCAACAGCTCTATATCTGGATCACTGCAGTGCCTAGAAGATACAACAGCACAATTTACAAATCCAAATTTCCAGGAAGTCTCTGCACATACCTCTAGTACAAAAGATGCTTCAGAGACTAGAGGGTCAGAGGGCAAAGAGAGGAAATATTCAACTCCCAGTTCAGGTCAAAAGGGAAGAAAGACTGGTGTTGAAAGAAATCCAAGAATGACTGTGTCTGCAACTCGCTCCTTTCTGTAAAGTATTCATGGTGTTTTACTTAAAATATTTGCTCTTATGATGGTCAATAATATTAATAGTTATGCTTTATAAAAGAATTTATTCTTTACTTATAATTAATGGATCATTCTAAGTTATTATATGTTTAGTTGATATAGTAAGATGATGTGAAAGGTTTGTTGCCTGTTAAATGTTTCTGGGATCTTTGCTTTATTTTTATATTATGATCTGTGCTTCCAAAGTTGAGCTGTAATTTTATTGTTTATACAAATGTAGAATAAACCTTAAGTTTGGGGAGAAAAATAAAAGCTAGAGTTTTCCTTTCAGCTATAGAACAGTCATTTATTTCTATAAATGTTCTTTATGTAGCTTTCCTAGTTCCACATTTAAAAAGATAAATACGGGGATCTACACAGGTCTCAGTAAATAATAGTTCTTGATTAATAATGCATTTATTATAAACCTTGAAGTTTAAAGTAGAATTTTGCTCAGCTCATATCTGTTATGGTCAGTCTGCTATAATTACGTAATACCCAGTTAAATTTCAATTTCAGATAAACAAAGAATAATATTTTAGTATACTCATGTCCCAAATACTGCATGGGACATACTTACACTGAAAAAAGTATTTGTTTATCTGAAATTTCAAATTAACTGGGCATGCTATATTTTCTGTGGCAACCTGCTTTATAGTGAACAGAGTAAGTCAGCTGAATTTTAGAATACTTAACCCTAACCTGGTGTTCTAGGTCTTTCCTTTTTGTAATTATTATTATTATTTGGAGTCATGGTCATGCTCCATCACTCAGGCTGGAGTGCAGTGGCACAATCACAGTGCCCTGCAGCCTTGAGCTTCTGGGCTCAAGTGATTCTGGCACCTCTGCCTTTGCCTCCCAAGTTGCTACAGGTACGTGGGCCCAGCTATTTTTTTTTTTTTTTTTTCTCATAGAGACAGGGTCTCCAGCTAGTCTGGAACTCCTGGACTCAAGCAATCCTCCCACCTCTGCCTTCACTTCCCAAATAGCTGAGACCACAGGTACACGCCACCACCATACCCAGCTTATTTCTTATCAGGTTGGTGCAAGAGTAATTGCGGGTTTTGCCATTGAAAGTAATGGCAAAACCCGCAATTACTTTTTGCACCACCCTAATAATTTTTTGTGGAGACAGGTTCTTGTCCTGTTGTCTAGGCTGGCTTCCAACTCCTGGGCTCAAGTGACCCTCCTGCCTTGGCCTCTAAAAGTTCTGGGATTACAGATGGGAGCCACTGCACCAAGTTACTTTGTATAATTTTTAACATAAATATTTTGAGAAATAGAAACGTTAAAACCATTGGAGGAAAATATATTGTAAAGTATACAATAGAAAAAAACAATCAAACAAAATACAACAAATACAACATAAAATTATCAAAATTTTCAGAGGAACAAAACAAAATCTAGTTTTACAATATTCAGAATTCAATCCCATTATATCAAACTTATAAAGAAACATATTCAAAGAAAAAGGCAATCAATAGAGACTGACCTCGATGACCCAGATGTTGGAATTAGTGTGGATTTTTAAAGTAGTTATTGTAATTCTTACTAAAATCAAAACCCCAAAAACCCATAAAATAAATGGATAGGAAATCACAGCAGAGAAGAAGAAACTACAATAATAACAAAGGCTCAAGTGGAAATTCTAGAAGTGAGAAAGTTTTCAGAATTAAAAAATAACAATCAGTTGTGTTCAGGAGCAGCTTGGAGGTGGTGAAGAGTCAATGAACCTTAAAATACAATTGAAATGATTCAATCTGAAAAATGTGAGCAGTCATAGGTTGGGGTGAGGGAGCTTTCCTTTGGTTAGTGCTTTTAGGTAGTCTTGGTTTTGATAAGATTACTAGACTGATCTGTCAGAGGCATGCCAAGCCAGAGTTTATCTTGGTTTCAGTAGTGCTTTAAGCAAAACTCATGATATTCTTGTGTACAAGATGGAAGAAGAGTGGACTAGATGACAATATTTAGATGCAGTCATTCTTAACCTCCGTTGCTCTCCCAGTGGTCTAGCTGGGGTTTGTATAAAGTGGAATGGGAGGAATAGGGAAGGAGCCCCCACCTACCCTCTCCCCTTGTCCACTTGTCCTCCTCCACTAGTGGATAAAGTCCACGGGAACAGGCAAGTTATTTTAAATCTGTATCTTCTGTTGTCAAGATCTGTAATCAGTTCTGCTCGCTGGACTGGGGAGAGGAACCAAGGGAACATAAGGGTGAACGGGTTGACATGGAGTCCAGGAATACACTGTGCCTACATGCGGAATGTTTGTGCCAGGAAAGCCAGTCAGCAGGCAGATGGTCTCAGATACCAAGCTAGTGTTGGGAAGCAAGATTCAGTCTCCTGAAGGCGTGTTCCTCATTCTGTGGTTTGTATCACTTGCTTCAGAATGACCTAGAGTACTTGTTAAAATGCAAATTTTGAGCCCAATCCTAGACCTCCTAAGCCTGCATCTCTACGGATGGGTCTCAGTAGTCGATATTGGAAACGTGCAGGTCCCTAGGAGATGCTTATGCATATAGATTTGAACTGTTGTGTTTAAGGGTTAGGGAGCTGGCAAAAGCAAGAAATAGGCCAAGCCCTTGGGTGGGAAGGCTCCATAACCTTGGCACTGTTAGCATTCTGGGCGGAAGAGGATTCTGCAACATGCTTCACAGCATCCCTAGCCTCTACTCTCTAACACCTTATTCCAGTTGGGAAAACCAAAAATGTTCCCTGGGAGGCAAAATAGTCACCAGTTGGGAACAGGAACCACTGCTTTGAGGGATCAGAGTGGTTACTTTGTTCCCAATCCAAGGATCAGCACACACGATGAGAGAAAGTCCAGCTATTGGAACTGGAGTGCCAAGTTGAAGCTAGACCTACAAAAAAAGCTCCAGAAGCTCCTTTATAGGGCTGATCCCATGCCTCGGCTACTTAGCTTGTACAGATGCCATGTAACTCCAGATTTGGTGACAGAAGGAATTTAAAGGCTAGAACTAGATAGGGTCTTTCAAGTTAGGCCAGCACACAACGTGGACTTTTGACATCATCCAGAAGCTTGAACCAACCTCAGTCCTGAGGCAGAATTTCCCGTGGCATCTGATACACAGCCTGGATTTGGAGCACTCACTGGGATTAGATGCCACGGGAATATTGTGTTTAGGAACTCTGAAAAAGACAGGCTTCAACAAAGCAGACCTAAGCAACACGTAGCGTCTGAACTTTATCAGCTTCCATTCCAGCCCACGAGGACAAAAGCATCACATACATATCCACTGTGGCAAACCTGTCCTCAGTAGGGAGTTTTCCCAGTACTACTCTCCCCTCTGTTCTGAGACTACTTGCTCCTTTGTAATGTTCCTACTTTCTGTCCCACTCCCTAATAGATGATTTGTCCTCTCTGCCCGGCCCCCTAGTTCTGATATTTGGATTGTCTGCGATCTGGATACTACTTAGGAGGTAGAATCAAAGCCTTGTTGATTGGATTGGGAGTTTCTAACTTCCTATTAAAGGCACTGATTAAGCATCTATTGTATAAAGTAAGTAAGATTATGATCCAGTAAGAAAGATTCCACAAGTAGCGCAGGAAGAATTGGTTTCTACTACACTTCATGCTTCAGGACAGGAAATCCAGAAAAAAATTCTGTGGTATGTTAAGTGTGAACTGTAAGTTTCATTTCCATGTGAAAAACTGTAGTTAGCTAAAAAGTACATCCATGAAGAATCCTGATTAAACTTGTTTAATCCTGGTTAAACTAGGTACTAGCTAAATAATAATTTCACAACAACTCAAGAACTCTGTAAAAGCATTTCCTCTGAATATTTTATTCAGAAAAAAAACACAAAAAGATAAGGCAGAAACAAAAATTCCAGTCATTTGCAGTATCTGTTGGCTTTCAATTTGGTTCTCTTGTTTAAATAAAGAAAAATAGTAAAATTAATCTATGTAAAACATGGCATATATATTCAACTGCTACTAAATATAAAAAGCTTTAAAACTGTGTGTTCAATTTTGGTTACTGTATTACCACAACACTTATATTAAAATATGTATACTTTCAAATTTTGTTTCTATAAAAAATGGATTCTAATCTTATAAAAGTTATTTCCTAATATTCAATAAATGTTGCCTAAGGGCTTTTTCAATCCAAATAGCAATTTTAATTATTCTGGAATTTAAAGGTGCTTTAAATTTCCATTTAATAGGGTGAGAATGCTGTATTATTACGAGTGATAAAAGTTACAGGACATAGAGGTTATTTCGTTTTAGAGTCCACATCCTGATTATATTTTATATCCTCTTCTTGATTTCTTACAACTAGATACATACTCATTTGCTCAGCTGGAAAAAATTCTTAACATTATTTACTGACTTTAGGTATGAACTCTACCAGCTAGTTAATAGGAAATATGTAATTAAACATTGCCTTTATCAAGTAATGTAAAAAAAGCGTAAGACTAACTTTGCAACATAGGACTTGAATGAGCAGCTGGTGATTATCAAAATCTGGCACTTAATTGATTTATACTTGTACACTCACAGCTAAACGTCTCTACCTGTTTTTCTATGTTGTAAATCTAGGACATTACTTATCTACATAGGAAGAGTAATAAATATTAATAATGTGCTATGATAAACATCCTGCACTCTTCCAAATCTTACAATAAAACTGCTTCAATTTCACTTGTTTAGCTTTTATACTTAGTTTTTTAGTTGATCTATGCTTATTTTAAGGAACCTGAACTACTCTAACAGAATCCACATAATTTTTATATTAGTCAAACTGCTTCTTTCTAACTCTGGTTCTAATAGTTATAAAAATATAATGATAAATTTATGAAGTAGATACAGTCAAACCTGAATTTCTTAAAATATATACTTAGAATCGGTTATAATTTTTAGATATTCTTTCTTGACAGTCTTTTCCCAAACTCATGATGTCCTCTCTAGGTAATATTGCCACACTCATAAATTAGAAATAAAGACAAAAATGTGAAAACTACAGTAATTTAAGAGAATATAGGTTTTCTACATGCCATTTCTATTGGCTACTGAAAATAGTGAAAATAAGTAAATAAATAGCTACCTGTCCAGAAGCGTCTCATGCAAAAATCCATCTTTCTGAGCCTTTTTTAAGAATTTTACTCTCTTCTTTACTTATTTTAAGTTTTTGGTCTTGGAAGCTCTGAAATTTCTTTCTGCAAAGAAAATGTCTTCATTGAAAAATACCTCAAACTCTGATTATACATATTTACTATTAAATTTGTAAATACTGTTAATTTCTTTTTCACTTATTAAAAAGGTCTAATTGTAGGCCAGGCACAGTGGCTCATGACAGCAATCCCAGGACTTTGGGAGGCCAAGGCAGGCGGATCACTCGAGGTCAGGAGTTCGAGAACAGCCTGGCCAACATGGTGAAACCCCATCTCTACTAAAAATACAAAAATTAGCCGAGTGCAGTGGTGCGCGCCTGTAGTCCCAGCTACTCGGGAGGCTGAGGCAGGACAATCACATGAACCTGGGAGGTGGCGGATGCGATGAGCCGAGATCATGGCACTACACTCCAGTCTGGGGGACAGAGTTAGACTCTGTCTTGGGGGAGAAAAAAAAAAGTCTAATTGTATTTTTTTTAATAAGCTGGAGCTTCTGAACAACAAAGATGACCTTCATAACCTCTCAAGAGGAGGGCCACTCATTGGCTGGGTAGCAGAAGGCCCCACTTCTATTAAGGCATGCTGGCTGGAGTCCCCTGTGTCCTGGCCATAGCACAGCCTTTGACTGGCATCAGGCCCATTCTATGAATGAATAGAGAGATTGACTAACCCGAGTGACTACCTTTGGGAGCTGGTAGGATGATTAGGAAAACTGAACCCTCAAGAAGAGAAAAGCATTTAGCTCAGTGCTCTGTCCTAGAGGCTACATTGTGTTACCTCTTCTTGTCCATCAGTTTTCATTTTTTCAGACAGGGTCTTGCTCTGTCACCCAGGCTGGAATGCAGTGGTGATCAGAGCTCACTGCAGCCTTGAACTCCTGGGCTCAATCCTCCTGTCTCAGCCTTCCGTGTAGCTGGGCCTACAGGCATGCATCACCATCCCCAGCTAATTAGGTAATTTATTTTGAAAGCACTTTGAGAAGCACTTCACTGTCAAATCCGTAGGTCTAAAAGGAAAAGCATACATACACATAATTGATTTCACATTGTTTTACATTTCCTTTGTATTCTTCTGGAATGTCATCTTTTTTCTTGGTTTCTCTTTCAGCACAGGATCTAATCTAGATATTGGAAAAGAGAATTCAATGGGTTATATGTTTATCTTCCACCTTCACCACTTTACGCATCACATAAGAACATTCGAGATGATTTCTTATGCAGAAGAAAAAATTAACTGAGCAAATATATTCAGAAAAAGACAGGTTCTGGCCATGTGTTTTTACTTCATATATATAATCTATATGAGTAAGTGCTATCACATGCTTTCTCCACAGCCCTTGTGTCAGAAACACTACAGACAAAATTATTTCAGAAACATTTTACACATCAGATCCTGCTAGGCAATAAAGAAATCATTAATTTAATTTTGTTCTCCAAGTGAATACACTGGGATCAAATTATCCCTAGTAGACAAGTGTTCATTTGATCAGATTAAAAGCTTAATAGCTATTTTACATTGCACAGACTATTACTAAAGTATTAAAACTTTTAACATTACACAACTTGTTTTCAATTAATTGGAACCCACCTCTTTTACTAGCTTCTTATATCCTCCTAAGTTTGGATAGATGTTTACTATCACATGTCATAAGTTAATTAATCTGCATTCAACAATTAGGATTGCCCACAGAACAGGCAATTGGCAATGGTAAGGACTCATGTCTCCTAAGGGATCTCTGTGGCCAGAGTCCAGTTCCAGGGCTGCTTAGAAAGTGATGACAAATAACGTGTTTGTGCCAATGACATCTTTGTGACAGTTTTGATTAGAGGGTTCCCAGACTTGAAAACATTCCCTGCTAGGGCCTGTAGCACAATGCTACCTTTAGTAAGAGGGGTCTGTGTTCTGGTAGACAAGGTAAGGTCATAAAGGTGAAGGGCTGACAGAGATTAGGACAGCCTGCAATTAAATGGTACAAAAAGAGTCCTAAATAATCACTGTTCAGAGCTTCCAAGTACTTGACGAACCAAAAAGACCCAGAAAACTTTGTATTTCATCTGAAAATTGCTTTAAATCATGAAAAATGCAACCTTTGTGTAAATATCTTTGTATCTTTGTATAAGTGCAAAGCACTGCACATATATTTGCAATTGTTGCCTTCAGTAACACTTTTGTGATGATATCCAGATGAAAAATAATTTAAACATGATGCGATAAAATGTAAATAAATAAAATTAAATGTAAGTCACAAACCCATCCGCATTTCCCCAATGATCTGTTTCCTGAGAAGCAATGTGCTATGAAATACTGAGAGTGGCCTCTGGAGTCAGCTGGGCCTGGGTACACATCCTGTCTTACCACACCTTGAAATCACTGTGATTTCCATGAACTGACTGACAAAAACCACGAGGATGTAAGGAGGGTCAGAGGCTGTCTTCCTGTCTGTAAGGCTGAGCTCACATCCACCTCACAGGAGCATTATGGAAATTCAAGACTACAACGCATGTGCCGGATGCATGCAACGAAAAAATATAACATTTCACTTCTCTAACTGTAAGAAAATACCTACATTTTAGAT
Source organism: Homo sapiens (assembly GCF_000001405.40). Lineage (NCBI taxonomy): Eukaryota > Metazoa > Chordata > Mammalia > Primates > Hominidae > Homo > Homo sapiens. Next base: position 12,622,786 of record NC_000022.11, on the reverse strand, counting down.
TGAAATTGTTTGAGCTTTAGATTTGAAATTATCTGAAATCAAGACTATTCTAAAAAGAAAATCAAACATATGACTGGAAATATAACATGAAGCACGTACAGAGAATTGATAGATGCTTTTAAATTACATTGGTAGTAGAGAAAAATGTAACATAAATTTTTATGCTTTAATTATAAGAATGAAGGGCATTTTAGAAAAGGCATTTGCCCCCTCTCTTAGAGCCTTCCACTCTGGCCCCCACAATGCCTTACAGAGCAAATCTGGGTCAGACTGGATGCAACCTGTGATTCCCAACAGAGACAAACAAAGTAAGGTTCTGGATGCTCAGTACTGGGATGGAATGCCAAGACACAGAAAAGCCATGTGTCAAGAAGGGGGGAGTTATTCTTTAGACACATCCTGGTATATGTTTATCATTAAAGATCAGTGCCTTTGCTCAGTACTGCGATGGAATGCCAAGACACAGAAAAACCATTTGTCAAGAAGGGGGGAGTTATTCTTTAGACACATCCTGGTATATGTATATCATTAAAGATCAGTGGCTAAAAAATTAATCCTTAAATGTTTTCATCAAGTTCCAATTAACTACCTGATTTATCTAGGTTATATTAACAGTATTATTTGGAATTTCACCTTGATATGAAGATGTCTGTGTAACTTTTACAATGATGTAAAACAAAGAGTAAGATTAGGGAGGGCACAGGCCACTGGTGCAATGGATAACACATGTGACTATGGATGAGGGAATTTAGCCTGGAATAAGGAACTTTTATTTCCAGATTAGTGATGCACACGAATTTTAAAAATAAAATAAAAACCATGTTTTATGTGATTCATGTTTCTCCTAATGCAAAGAAGACAGGTACTATTAATAAAAATATTTTTAAAATGTAAGGGCTAAGGCCCCAGAAGTTCTGCTATGATTTTTTATGTTTCATAGAGTGATTATCATCACAGAAGCTCAAGCATTATGTAAATACAAACGCGTATACCCCGACCTGGTAATTCTGCTTCTGGAAATTTATCTTCAGGTCCACCCACACATCTACAAATTGATGCATATTCAATGTTATGTACTGCAGCACTGTTTATAAGAGCAAAAGACTTGAAACAGCCTAAATTTCCATCTACAAAAGACTAAATGAATTAAGGTACATCCCTAAAATGGAATTTTATGTGGCTGTTAAAAAAGAGAGAGAGAGAAAGAGAGGAAAAGCAAGACAAAGAGAAAACTTTCTACATTCAAACTAATAGTAGAAAACTCTCCAAGATACAATTTTAAGGAAAAAAAAATCAAAGTCGAGAAGACTATAGAGGAGGTTGTCTTTAGTGTAAAACAGTTGAAAATTATAAATATATTCATATGTTTATAAAGAAACTTTAGGAGGCTATGAAAAAAACAAAACAAAGGGAATGAGGAACAGGAGCTGGGACACAGGTGAGTAAGATGCATGGCAGGCATGTATCTTCATCTTTATATGCTTTTATTTAAAAATGTTGGACCACATGTACATGTTATCTATTTAAAAAATCAGATTTTAAAATACAAGCAAGAAAACAAGAAAATGAAAGCTTAAAAAGAGCATGTGGAACTACCAGAAAAAGATACTAATCCATGGAGATAATGGCAAGATAGCTCCTAGATGCACTGATTTCTCTAACACATTGTATAAACAAGCCATCAACTATGGGATTTATAATTTAAAATGAGTCTATTTGAAACACCACATTATAAAAAGCTATTAACTAAATCTTTAAAGTGACAGTAAATGATGACTTAACATTTTAAAGAGATACAGTCACATCGCATGTGTGAATGCAGTCATCTGTATAAAATGTCATCATCACCTTGATCATTTCTTCTTCTGCTGTTTTACTTTTTGCTTCTATGTCCCCTGCTTCATTACATCTAATAAAGCAGCTATTTGAGGCCAACAAAGCCACTTTCCCTTAAGTGAAACAAAATAACAAAATAGCCATGAGGATACTTCTTGTGGAAGAAACATTAAATGTTTAGACTGAATTAATTTTTCCTCCCTGATTTAAAAATCACAGAAAAGAACTTAGAGAAAAACCTGAAAAATATAATACAAGAACATATAGAAAAGGAAACCAAAATCACCTTTCATTTTACTATTCAAAGATTACCACAATAAACATTTGTAATGTATCTTCCTAGTAGGACTAAATTCTTTTTTTTTTTTTTGAGACGGAGTCTCGCTCTGTCGCCCAGGCTGGAGTGCAGTGGCGGGATCTCGGCTCACTGCAAGCTCCGCCTCCCGGGTTCACGCCATTCTCCTGCCTCAGCCTCCCAAGTAGCTGGGACTACAGGCGCCCGCCACTACGCCCGGCTAATTTTTTGTATTTTTAGTAGAGACGGGGTTTCACCGTTTTAGCCAGGATGGTCTCGATCTCCTGACCTCGTGATCCGCCCGCCTCGGCCTCCCAAAGTGCTGGGATTACAGGCGTGAGCCACCGCGCCCGGCCGGACTAAATTCTAATTAGATGAGGTAGGATTGCTTCCTTTCTAAAAGATCTACTGAAGATAAAACTGATTTAGTTCTGTTTGAAAAATTAACTTTAAAGACAAGAACATAATTATGAATGCATACTTTATTCAAATATTAACATTTTAAATAAAAATTATTTTCTTCACAATTAGAAAACATGAAAAGGTATATACAATGCCTTTGGTGTTTTGAATTTAAGAATCAATGTCTGAGTGACTTTTGTGTGTGAAAATAAATATTCATATACATGTTTAGTTGTTTAATGTTTGATGTATTACACTGCTTTCTATTAAACAAAACTTTAAAAACTGATTTTCTTGTGTATCTAAATCTGGGTTACAAATTTGGTTAGCTTAACTCCCGTAACAAATATAACGTTTATTTATAACTTGTATTTGGTTGATTCTTTTGGAAAACTTGGAATACCATAACGTTTAGACAAAATATTTATAAATACAATGATTACAAAATATGTTAAACTTATATCACATCCAGTTAAAAATGTGCTGATAACATGGATTTAATTTCTTAGTCAAGTCCCAAGGGCTGGGTGGTCTCTCATCTGGATGGCTCCTGGTGAGCCCTGGAACATGGTGGTCTGGTCCAAGGCGATTTAAACCTGTGCCACAGATTATTCAGCTGAGTCCTTTTTGAAATAGAGTTTTAAGACCCTCTTTCATTTAAATTTAAATTTTTGAAACTTAGTGTCCTTCCTAAAAATAAAATGAAATGAACTTTCCTAAAGTGTTGTATTATTAGTACTATCTAAGTCATCATCCTGGCCTTATGAAATATTGGCATTTTCTACTGGTGTAACTTTTATTAGAAACATCTCATCACAACTAGTAGGATCATCTCAAAGGGGTTGCAACACATTAACAGGTAATGAAATCAATGTAGTGTTTCCTGAACGGTATTGGGTGGGCTGGGGGGAAAAGGAATACACACAGACACACAGAGGAAGGGGTAAAAGAGAATAAGAAATATCAAGGTGTATAACACATGGATAAGTAAGTATTGTTAAGTACAACTCTTGCTTCAGTTATGCATATGTGTGTGCTGCATTTGTCAATGGATTGGGTCAAAATAGTTTTCAAGTCACTGACTTAAGATTTTATCCTAGGGGATGAGGAAATTAGTCTAAGTGATTACTTCTTTCTGGTGGGATGTTTTTTTAATCTGTCGTCTTAGAAAACACTGCTGAGTTCCTATTTTCAGTTCATTATTGTATACTACCAAAGCTGCTACTCAAAGGCTGAGCTTATCTTCTATTTGCTTGTTCTGCGTGGTACCCACTGGTCCTTACTGTTTTTGATATAGTTATCTACTTTTTAAAGACAGTTTAGCACTCACATATTTTTTGTTCAATCTTTACTTCTCACACAGAAAAAGGAAATCATGTATTCTGTATCAACAAAGATTTAACAAAACATCCATATACTACAATTGTCTACTTACTAAAATTAAGAATTAGTATACTATCTTTTTTCTTCTTATATTAAAACTATCTTTTCATACACTATTTTAAGCTTATGAACTGAAAGTTTTTTAGAGATAATTTACTTCAATGAACTATTATTATTTATATTTTATACGCAAATTGTCACAACTTGTTCTTAGCTAGCTCCACTGTTCTCTTACAGTCTGTAATGTTTCTGAAAGCATCCATGATTTCTGCTACAAGGAAGATACTTAGGAACTATTCTGTTTTCCTACTCTGTGACCTAAAATTGACTGGTTCTTCAATGGAAATGAGATCCATATCGGGCACTAAGGGTATACAGAAATAATTGTGGGCAAAAGTACTAATGCTATTTTTGTTGCACTATATTTTGAGATCTCTTTAAGGCTCTATGTTCTTACTGATTTATTCCAATTTAATGTATTATACTATTGCATCCTACTTTTTCTTTTTAAATATATTATGATTGACTGTTACAGACTTTCTGTTAAACTGACAGGAAGTTTTTATAAACAATAACAGCACTTATATTTTGAAAGACTGGTTCCTATTGTTCTCTTGGTTCAACTGCATCTGAACGCCCAATAAGAAGTTCATCTGAATTTATACCAAGATATTTTCTATAGCCAGATTTCAGGGCGATTCTGTACATTAATAAGATAGATAAAAGTTAAAAACTGAGAGAAAATTAATTATAGGACATCAAAACAGGACATGTGTATGTGTGTGGGTGTGTACATATCTAAAATTCCAGACTGGACATATTCCAAGTGTTCAAAAGATGCATGTGGCTGAGTGGTGACTCAAGACTGTAATCTGTGTTTTGGGAAGGCAATGGGAGAATTGCTTGAGGCAAGAAGTTCAAGATCAGCCTGGACAACATAGTGAGACCCCATCTCTATAAAAAATTTAAAAAGTTAGCTGGGCATGGTGGTGTGCACACGTAATACCAGCTACTTGGGAGGCTGATGCAGGAGGAGTGCTTGGAGCCCAGAAATTTGAGGTTATAGTGAACTATGTTCACACCACTGCCCTCCAGCCTGGGTGACAGAGTGAGACTCTGTGCCTTCCAAAAAAAAAAAAAAAAAAGCTACATGTGACTAGTTGTTGCCATATTGGACAGTGCAGTTTTAAATTTAGTTTTATATTTTGCTTTTTTAATATAAACATTGTACCTTATATATTACATAACAAATATTTTCAAAATTCATCATTCTTCAATTATACCTCTTTAGTTATAAACTTCAATAATAAATTACTAAAACTTTATGTCATCAAACTGTTTTCCAGAAAATGCTGCTTCCATTTACATTCTCACCTCAAATTAACACAGTATGTTTTGTATCATGGATTTTTTTTTTAAACATTATGACTCTAAAAAAATACTTGAAAACCTGATATGGAAAAAAACAGTATCCTATTAATTTGCATTTTAGTAGTTAACTAGAATAACAATTGTTTTTCTTTTCCTTTCCTTTTTAGTTTTTAGATTATCTGGTAATGTGCCTTGTCCACTTTTCTATTCAGATCTTATTGTTCGCAATTTTTCTACTGGGGTCTTCAGTGCTATGAATTTTATACAAGATACATATGAAGATTAAGAACTCACTGCCTATTAAGATTGTTGCAAATATTTTCCTCATTTGTCAGTTAATTTTCTTTATAATCCTTTTTTGTTTATAATTGTAAAGCAGTTTAAAACTATTGAATTTTTTCTTCCTCTGCTTTTATTCTTTGTCTTTCACTCTACTTATCAGACTTCCAAAGAAAGTATAGAAATAATCATCTTAATGTGATTTTTTAAAATTATGATTTCTTTTACCTTACCAAGAATCTCCTTGGATGCCAGAATTGACTTTTACTCCTTTATACGTTAATGATTATATAACAGAAATCATTATCATGTCGATGTAACCAATTACTAAAATATGTAAATTCACTTTCAGTATGTTTTACCCAAAGAATCATTCTATACTTCTGCACAAGGTGAGAATAAAAAAGGCTACTTTATAAAATGACTGTAAAAATAGTGAGTAAAAATATTCTTTTGGTCGTTATGATGCTGTAACATTCTCTGCTGGTTTCAACAATATTCCTTTTTTTAGTCTTCCTGTTTGTCTTTAGACTTCCAAACAGTGAGTTTAAATATCATAGCAACAGTGAACCAGGTTTTGTACTATTTGATTTATTTTTTAATCTATCTTACTTGGTGTGTGAAATTATTAATCTTCATTTTTTAACTTACATATCTTTTTTCCAGCCTAGCATTATATATTGATAGGAAATCCACTAAAAGTAGATCACAAAATCTACTTTTCAAAAAAGCTATTTTGTTTTTTATATCAAAATTACCGTGGGCTTAAGACAGATACTAAAATTTTTAATGAATACAATTAAATTTTTAAAATAACTGGTTACTAATTATATTACAACATAAGCTCACCTGGAATCAGATAATTTGACAGCCGTAAACTGCTCTGGAGGACTAGAGCCCTCATCAACTATTGGAGAAAAAACTTTTGAATATAAATTTGACATTTGCTATAAATATAAAGACATTATTTTGCTTTAAAAAATGTGGCTATTTTCTTCTGCAATTAAATGTAAGAATATTCAGATATACTGATGTCACTGTAATACTGTATCTTTGGAATCAAGATCTATTTTACCTTCTTTTAACTACAGTGCTAATTTTATACACTGAGTAAGACAGGGTGATATAATGCTTATTTAATAACTTTCGAGATAGATTCTCTTTATGTTTTAAAATACAGTCATAAATAAGCACTTATTTAAAAAAGCTAAACGCTTTCATTTATTCAATGGATGGCCTTGCTGACCAAATGATACTGCTTTTTATCTTCTAATTACTTCATATCTCATTAGTGTTTCCTCTAAAGGGCTAAAGAAAATGAGGAAACTTCAAATTGTTAAATGCACCCAGGTTAGTTTTGGTAATAGGTCTGAATAAAAAAGAAATTCAAAGATGTTTGACTCAAATAGGTTTTCTTTTTTCTTTCCACTTACTATTTTAATTATTCATATTGTTTTGATTTCCAAAGATACTCTTATGGAACTATATGGAATGTTTTCAAATGCTTATATTAAAAAGAGGGACTTCCCAATGGCTGGTAAATATTAAGGAATTAAAAAATGGAAGTGTCAAATGCAATGGTTCCATTTATTTGGAAAATGTTTGAGACTAGTTAGAGTTTGGCCTAAGTGAATGAATGTCCTAAAATCTACACTTGTGGCAGGATCTTCCCTTCCAAACACAAACTTTCTTTGTGTGGAGCTCCCAGGGTAAAAAGACCATTGTCGAGTGCATGTATATAGGTTCCCTCATCCATTTCAATGGCTATGGTTCCTGAAATTCCACCAAAGTTTATTACTGTCCACCAGATTCCTAAAAAATAAAATTGATATTTCAACTTTATATTTTAGTTTTGACACAGAGTTCTTTGTTATTATAACTTAGTTTTAAAAACTTTATTTTGCAGTCGTAAGAAATACTACAAAGATCTCACATATCCTTCACTCACTTTGTCTCAATGATGACATCTTGCATAAGTATCACACATTGTTAGAATCAGGAAACTGACATTGATATAATCCATGAAGCTTATTCAGATTTCACCAGTTTTACGTGTACTTGTTTGCATGTATGTGCACAGATTCCTGCGACTACCAGCAGAGTCAGGATTAGGTTTTTAAAATACACAATAGCAACATACAGCCAGGCATGGGGGTGCATGCCTGTAATCCCAGCTACTCGGGGAGCTGTGAAAGGGGATCACTTGAGCCCAGGAGTTCAAGGTTATAGTGAGCTATGATCACGCCACTGCACTCTAGCCTGAGTGACAGAACAAGGTCCTGTCTCAAAAAAAGACCAAAACAAAACAAAAGGCAACATGTGAGGGTAAAATTGATATATGGAGAACAGTCTCTCTCATGATAGACCCCAGCCATCTATTCATGCCTGCTTTCCAGAGGCAATGCCTACGATAATGCTTCTTAAAAATGCCTCTACAGGAAGACTTTCTAGCATAGTAATCTTTTTTTTTTTGAGATGGAGTCTTGCTCTGTCACCCAGGCTGGAGTGCAGTGACGCGGTCTTGGCTCACTGCGACCTCTGCCTCCTGGGTTCAAACAATTCTCTGTCTCATCTTCCCGAGTAGCTGCAGTTACAAGAGCCTGCCACCATACCTGAATAATTTTTTTTTGTATTTTTAGTAGAGACGGGATTTCACCACATTGGCCAGGCTGGTCTTGAACTCCTGACCTCGTGATCCACCCGCCTTTGCCTCCCAAAGTGCTGGGATTACAGGTGTGAGCCACCACACCCGGCCAGTAATCTTAACTACGATTTTAGATTGAAAGCAAAATGAGCAGAATCTATGTCTATGTATACTAATTTCCAATTTGCCAATAGAAATGTTAGACTCTAGCAACAATTATTTTAGCAGTTGTTATAAAAGTTTACATCTTAATGTGAAAAAATATCCTCAAACCTTCTCCTAAATTGTACTTTAACTAGAGTAGAAATGAGTCAATCATTAACTGGATATGCCATATTAAGGAATTCTTGTTAATTTTACAAGGTCTGATAATGACATAGTATAATGTATAAAAGTAAAGAACAAAAGAGGTGATGAGAGAAAGACATACTGCATTAAGAAATGTACATTTATGTACTTATGGGTAAAATGACGTAATATCTGTGATTTTACTTAAAATTTTCTTGGAAAAAACGTGTATGGGGGTGTGTACGTAAATGAAACGAGATTGGCAAAATATTGATAATTAATGCTGGGGTCTGGGCACATGGGGGACTCATTATATTCTTCTATGTATGGATTAGTTTGGATATTTCCATAATAAAAAGGTTTTAAAGTTTCAGTTAATTCCACTGCACAAAATTTTCTATTCAACTAAACATTTCATGCTTTTCATAATCAATTTTAAAATACATAAAATTTCAGCTAAAATGAAGTTGGACCCTTATCTAACACCAAACACAAAAAGTAACTTAAAATAGACCGAAGACCTAAATGTAAGAGCTAAAGTTACAAAACTTTTAGAAGAAACTGGGAAAAGCTTCACGACAATGAATTTGGCAATGATTTCTTATATAGAACATCAAAGGCACAGGCAACAAAAGAAAACACAGACAAACTGGACTTCATCAGAATTAAAAACTTTTGTGCATCAAGAACCACTGTCAACAGAGTAAAAGGCAACCCAGAGAATGGAGAAAATATTTGTAAACTATATACAATATAAGGAATTAATATCCAGACTAGATAGAGAACTCCAAAAAGACAAATACCACAATTCAAAGGATATACATGGGCAAAGGATATACACGGACATTGTTCCAAAGATGATATACAAATGGCCAATAAGCACTCGAAAAGATGCTCAACATCACTAGTCACTAGGGAAATATGAATCAAAATCATAATGCAATACCACTTCACACCCATTAGAATGCTATTATCAAAACAAACAAAAAACAGAAACCAAGAAAAGCAGAAAAACAAATGTTGGGCAGGATGTGGAGAAACTGAAACCTTGTGCAATGCTGGTGGGAAGGTAAAACGGTGCATGTATTTAAATGCCACTGAAGTGTACACGTAAAAATAGTAAAACTGGCAAATTCTCCTTGAAGAGGTCCTTCTTCAAGGAGAACTACAAACCACTGCTCAAGGAAATAAAAGAGGATACAAACAAATGGAAGAACATTCCATGCTCATGGGTAGGAAGAATCAATATCGTGAAAATGGCCATACTGCCCAAGGTAATTTACAGATTCAATGCCATCACCATCAAGCTGCCAATGACTTTCTTCACAGAATTGGAAAAAACTACTTTAAAGTTCATATGGAACCAAAAAAGATCCCGCATCACCAAGTCAATCTTGAGCCAAAAGAACAAAGCTGGAGGCATCACACTACCTGACTTCAAACTATACTACAAGGCGACAGTAACCAAAACAGCATGGTACTGGTACCAAAACAGAGATATAGATCAATGGAACAGAACAGAGCCCTCAGAAATAACGCCGGGTATCTACAATTATCTGATCTTTGACAAACCTGAGAAAAACAAGCAATAGGGAAAGGATTCCCTATTTAATAAATGGTGCTGGGAAAACTGGCTAGCCATATGTAGAAAGCTGAAACTGGATCCCTTCCTTACACCTTATACAAAAATCAATTCAAGATGGATTAAAGACTTAAATATTAGACCTCAAACCATAAAAACCCTAGAAGAAAACCTAGGCATTACCATTCAGGACATAGGCATGGGCAAGGACTTCATGTCTAAAACACCAAAAGCAATGGCAACAAAAAGCCAAAATTGACAAATGGGATCTAATGAAACTAAAGAGCTTCTGCAAAGCAAAAGAAACTACCACCAGAGTGAACAGGCAACCTACAAAATGGGAGAAAATTTTCGCAACCTACTCATCTGATAAAGGGCTAATATCCAGAATCTACAATGAACTCCAACAAATTTACAAGAAAAGAACAAACAACCCCATCAAAAAGTGGGCAAAGGACATGAACAGACACTTCTCAAAAGAAGACATTTATGCAGCCAAAAAACACATGGAAAAATGCTCACCATCACTGGCCATCAGAGAAATGCAAATCAAAACCACAATGAGATACCATGTCATACCAGTTAGAATGGCGATCATTAAAAAGTCAGGAAACAGCAGGTGCTGGAGAGGATGTGGAGAAATAGGAACACTTCTACACTGTTGGTGGGACTGTAAACTAGTTCAACCATTGTGGAAGTCGGTGTGGCAGTTCCTCAGGGATCTAGAACTAGAAATACCATTTGACCCAGCCATCCCATTACTGGGTATATACCCAAAGGACCATAAATCATGCTGCTATAAAGACACATGCACACGTATGTTTATTGTGGCATTATTCACAATAGCAAAGACTTGGAACCAGCCCAAATGTCCAACAATGATAGACTGGATTAAGAAAATGTGGCACATATACACCATGGAACACTATGCAGCCATAAAAAATGATGAGTTCATGTCCTTTGTAGGGACATGGATGAAATTGGAAATCATCATTCTTAGTAAACTATCACAAGAACAAAAAACCAAACACCGCATATTCTCACTCATAGGTGGGAATTGAACAATGAGAACACGTGGACACAGGAAGGGGAACATCACACTCTGGGGACGGTTGTGGGGTGGGGGGAGGGGGGAGGGATAGCATTGGGAGATATACCTAATGCTAGATGACGAGTTACTGGGTGCAGCACACCAGCATGCCACATGTATACATATGTAAGTAACCTGCACATTGTACACTTGTACCCTAAAACTTAAAGTATAATAATAATAAAGAAAAAAAAAGGAAAACTGGCAAATTCTATATTCTGTATATTTTACCTCCACACACACACAAAAACAATGGAGAAAAAGAAAATTAATCAAAATTAAAATTTCAGCTAAAGACAATTAGAAAGCAATAAAACTAATGACAATTTAGATGATTGAGTTATAGCTACAATTGTTTTCAGTAAAAGAAATAATGCTTTATTCAGAATCATTATGAAGAGTGTTATGATTAGCAAGACTTTCTTATAAATGTAACAGTTAATAATTTTAAATTAGTTTTATTTTGTATGTTCTATGCCACGTTCACCAAGTACACTTAATATTAAATAAAATCATTTAAATATAATATCTCATTAATGTTTTGCAAATGAAGAAGAAATTTCTGGCAGACAAGCTCCTCAAAATTTTCACACTCTGTCCAAGTAGCTAAATGATACAATAACATTACTTATAATATTGTCAACTGAAAAAGAAATTACTTTGAGCAGATGCCAGTATTTTTTCTCAATGGGATTTCAAAGAATAAGAAAGCTAAACACAGTATCATCAAGAATTAAATGTGAGCATTCTGCCTACTTTCTGCAAGTGGCCTACATTCAACCTTTGGAGGTATGCTTATATGTTTAGCGACTAAAGTAATATAACATAATACTTAACGGTGCCACTCGGGGGTTTTAGCTGTGAAAAAGCAGTGGATCCTAAGAACAGTCGGCACTGAAGTTGCCTGTCTCTAAGTCAGGTGACAGCTCAAGTTGTGTATATGTTGCAGATGCCCAAGCTGAATTTAAGAGAATCCACTCAAAAACATTACTTGCTATTTAGACACATGCTTAAAGTTATTTCCTTTTAAACCTTAGGCAGATGGTGAAATATTCCCGCTGTGTTGTCTCACAATGCATAACAAAGCTTTTCACATATTTTCACATAGTTGAGAATGTTTCCATATGTCTGGCATGCCTGTAATCCAGCACTTTGAGTGGTGGAAGCAGGAGAATCATTTAAGCCCAAGAGTTCAAAATCAGCCTAGGCAACAAAAGGAGACCCCCATCTCTACAAAAAAATTAAGAAATTAGCTGGGTATGGTGGTACAAGGCTGTGGTCCCAGCTACTCGGGAGTCCAAGGTGAGAGGACTGCTTGAGCCTACGAGGTTGAGGGTGCACTGAGCCATGATCATGTCACTGCACTCCAGCCTGAGCAACAAAGCAAGAGCCTGTCTCAAAAAACAAAACAAACAAACAAAAAAAACTGGCCCGATGCACCAGTGTCATGGCTGATTCGATACTACCAGGACACCCTCATTCTAGCATCAAGGCTGTGTGACAGCTCACCTCACATTCTGACTAACCCAGTGCTTCTGTGCTAAGGACCCCCTTAAATCTCTGCCTTCATTATGTGCTTGGCACAAAGGAATGATATATCTTAGATTTGGAAATGGAATTTTCTTCCCCAATCTTACTGTAGTCTAAGTACCCTTCACAGACCTTCTATTAACCCATAGCTGACTTAGCTTTAGTTCCTGGGTAAATCAAATCTGTGTTTTGCAAACTACGATGTTGTAAGTTCAATTGCTTCTGAATCTAGCAGAGCTCAGTGAAAATCCTTGCTTACAGACAGGCTCATTTTTATTAATGTCACACATGGTACTCTCCATGTGAAAGACAGAGTTTCTTTCATCCTATTTACCAATCCCTTCAGATCCTTGTGAGGAACCAACAGAACAGCTTCAAAAAATTAAAAGTTTTTTTTATTTCCCTTCACAAATAGGCACATGCTTACTTTTATGGCAAGTTTAGAAAATCCACAATGCAAAAGAAGGTGGAAGGACAAAGAGAAAAAGATGCAGAAGGACTTCCTCTTCCAGCCAAGATGGACTTGCCCTCCCACCATGACCAATGAGAAAACTGAAACTGGATAGAATATTTGAGAAAACTGTTTTCGGGGATTGGAACACAGGCAGAACAGGACTGTGATATTTGAGAACAGGAAAACACAGGAGGCAAATCTCACACACACTTCTGTTTTCTGCCCAATGGCAGTTTCTTGACCACGCAGAGAGTTAGAGACCTCCAAAAATGAATCAATGTCACTGTCACTAAGCTGAGAGTCTTGCAGTGCTAACATGTTTGGAGTTTATAGAATAAGTTACTGGAGAAGAGGGAACTACATACAGGTGAGGCCTCGGAAGAGTATGCAAAAGTTCTCTGCAGGTTTGGGGCCAAGGGCTGGGGGGAGTGCATACAGTAGGCAGGCTCCACAAGGCCTCTGCAGAGTGGCTGGCACTTCTGAGGGCTGACTGGAGATGCCAGAAATCACACAAATTTGGGACACAGCAGAGTGGACAGAACTCACCAAGTATACTTAGAACATGTGGCTGAGGCCCATGAGGATGAGCCTTTCCTAGAGTAAGAGTCACTGTCTAAGTCTACAGGCAAAAACCTAATAAATAACCACGAACTAACAAAGGCCCAGGCTTGACAGGAGCAAAAGGGTGGTCAAATAATTTAACTAGGCATCAAGACATTTAACAGAAATAAAGGTTAAAATGTTATGAAAATGAAAGACTGAATTTATAAGGAAGACTTAACAATCCTAAATGCGTACACATGACAGCTTCAAAATACTTTAAGCAAAAACTGCTCAAGTAGACAGATCTAGAATTACAGCTGGAGATTCTAACATAACTCTCATTACATTGTAGGATGAATAAAAAAGCAGTAAGGACACAGATGTGCATAGTCACAAGCTCCACCAGTTGATCTAACTGATATGTAAAAAATACTGCACCGCTGGGCGTCATGGCTCACGCCCGTAATCCCAGCACTTTGGAAGGCTGAGGTGGGTGGGTCGCCTGAGGTCAGGAGTTTGAGACCAGCTTGGCCAACGTGGTGAAACCCTGCCTGTATTAAAAATATTAAAAAAATTAGCCAGTCGTGGTGGCAGGTGCCTGTAATTCCAGCTCCTCCGGAGGCTGAGGCAGGAGAATCACTTGAACCTGGGAGGCGGAGGCTGCAGTGAGCCGAGATTGTGCCACTGCACTCCAGCCTGCTGGGCAACAGAGGGAGACTTCATCTCCAAAAAAAAAAAAAAAAAAAAACAAAATAACCCTGAACCAACATCTGCAGAATACACATTCTTTTCAAGTGCACGTGGAAATTCACTAAGAAAGTATGTTCTCCAACTATACTATAAATGAATTAGAAATCAGCAACAATAACATACCTATAATATCTCTATGTAGTAGAAATTAAGAACAATACACTTTGAAATAACTCAAGTGTCCATGAAAAGAAAAATCACAAGGAAAACTAGATAATATTTTGAATGGAATGAAAATGAAAACAAAATGTGTTGACTATAACTAAAACTAAAGTGGAATGAAGAGATCTAACTCTCTTCTTAAGAAGCAATAAAACAGAGCAAAGTAAACTGAAAATAAGTTAAAGGGAGGAAAAAAAACACTGAAAATAAATGAAATAAAAAATGAAAAAAAGAGAAAATAAGTAATACTGAAACAGGCTTGTCAAATCCTGAGGACTGCATGTGGCCCAGGCCAGCTTTGAATGCAGCCCAACACAAATTCATAAACTTTCTTGAAACCTTATGAGATTTTTTTGTTTTTTTTTGTTTTTGGCTCATCAGCTTATCGTTAGTGTATTCTATGTGTGGCCCAAGACAATTCTTCTCCTTCGACTGTGGTCCAGGGAAGCTAAAAGATTGAATACCCCTGTACTAAAAGATCATTAATGATCTAAAATAAATGATCTTATAAAGAATTTATAAACCTCCAGCTAGACTGACTGATCCAGGAAAAAATAGAAAAAACACAAATTACCAATATGAAGAGACTGCAATACAGATTAGATTCTACAGACATTAAAAGGATATTAAAGGAATATTCTGAACAATTTTATGACAATAAATCCAACAACTTGGATGAAATGAAATTTTCCTAAAAGACACAAGTTACCAAAACTGACAACAGAAAAATCTGAAAATATCTCTTAAAAAATCTTAATTCTCCCACAAAAAATTAAAACCAAACCAAACAAAACCCTCTAGGTTCAGATGACTTCACTGGTAAATCCTATCAAACATGTAAAGAAGAAATCATGCCGATCTTACACAGCTATTTCCAAAAACAGGGAAGGAGGCAGCACTTCCCATCTAATTTTATGACACCCACTATCGCCTTGACACCAAAATCAAATAAAGCCATTACAAGAAAAGGATACAAAAGTTCAATATCTCCCATCAACACCAATAGAGAAATCTTAAAACAACAACAACAACAACAACAAAACCTAGAAATCAAATCTAGCAATATCCCAAAAGGCAACGCACCACAACCAAGTGGGGTTTATCTCAGGGATGTAAAGTTAGTTTAAAAGTTGAAAATGAAACCAATGTAATTCATTGGCAGAATGAAGAAATTTGTATAATCATCTCAACAGACACAGAAAGAGGCATTTGACAGCATTAAACATTGTTATGATAAAAAACTCCCAAGAAACAAAGTTTAAAAGGAATGTCCTCATTTTGATAAAGGTTTTCTCTGTAGATCCTACAGACACCATACCATATGGTGGACTACTGAAAGCTTTCTGCCTAAGCTTGGAAACAATGCAATTATGCCCATTCTCGTGACTTATGTTCAACACTATGGAAGTCCTGGGCAGTATAATAAACCAATAAAAAGCAAGACAAGACATAAGGATTAGAAAGAAAGAAGTAAAATGATAGTCACAGGAAACATAATTGCAAATTTCTTAGTATTCTATATAAACAAACCACTAGAAGTAATAAGTGAAACAGACTTATGAGACTACAAAGTCACTATACAAAAATCAATTGTATATCTACATACTAACAGCAGACAACCGGAAAATGAAATTCAAAAGTTCTACTGACAGTAGTGTAAAATTATAAAATACTTAAGAATAAATTTTTAAACAGGCATGCAAGACTACTACATTGAAAATTATGAAATATTGAGGCCCAATATTAAGATATTGATTCTCCCCCAAATGATCTGGACTCAATACAATTCTCTGAGAAAATCCAACAGGCTTCACTGTAGAAATTAATAAACTAATAGTAAGTACAAAGTTGGAGGATACACACTACCTGATCTCAAGACTTCATGAAATTATAGCAATCAAGAGAAATATACCAAAAGAAAAACAGACAATCGATAGAACAGGGTCCAGAAATAGACCAATACATAGAAAGATAATTGATTTTTTATGAAGACACGAAACTGGATTAATGGAAAAAGGAAACACCAGTGGTGCTGGCACAAATGGCTATCAAGATGTTAAAAAAAAAAAGTATGTTTTGAAACCAAACTCACACCATGCCATAAATTAATTTGAGATTAATGACAGATGTAATGTAAAATCTAAAACAATGATGCCTCTAAAAGACAACGTAGAATATTTTCCTGACTTTGGGGTAAGCAAAGATCTCTTAGATCAAAGAGATAAGGTAGTAACCATAAAAGAAAAAAATAAACTAAGCTTTATAAAAATTAAAAGCTTCTGACCATCCTGGCTAACATGGTGAAACCCTGTCACTACTAAAAACACAAAAAATTAGCTGGGCGTGGTGGTGGGTGCCTGTAGTCCCAGCTACTTGGGAGGCTGAGGAAGGAGAATGGCATGAACCTGGGAGGTGGAGCTTGCAGTGAACCGAGATTGCGCCACTGCCCTCCAGCCTGGGCGACAGAGTGAGACTCCGTCTCAAAAAAAAAAAAAAAAAAAAAAAAAAAAGCTGTCCATCCAAAAACCACCATTGAGAAACTGAAAAGGAAAAACTCAGACTGGGAGAAAAGACTGACAACACCATCAACTTTTGACAAGGATGTAACTGGAGAACTAATTCATTCTTGGTGGGAGGGTAAAATGGCACAACCACTTTAGAAAATTTTTGGCAGTTTCTTATATAGTTAAACATTCACATATCCTTTGACACAGCAATTCCACATCTACATATCTACCCTAGATATATACCCTAATTTTAGAATTGTTGATTTGCCATTTCAAAAGCAATGATTCTTCCAGAACATTAGCTTTATACCATTTCATATTTTATATATTTTTAAGCTACCATAATTTATCAAGATTCAAAATGCAATTTGCCAAGTTTTAAAACAGAAAAAAAAAGCATGGAAACAGCTAAACGGAAAACAGGCTGGTTAAGTGTGTTTGGGTCAGTTTATTTCTAGTATCATTTACAGGCTACCCTGATATTGTATTTAAAATTTTCATTCATTTCAGAGTTCACAAAATAATGATTTTTCCTGTGAAGATACTTCGTTTAAGAGACAACTGACTTCTACAACTAAAATGTATACATGTTCAAAGAAAATAACTTGTAAAATATATTTGGTTGAATAACATTTACATTAAGCCTTTAAAATTATGTATCAGAATCTCCAGCTATTAAGCAGTCTAATGGTGCCTACTAAGTCAGAGAGTTGTAATTCTTCTCTCCTGTGCTCTGTTCTGATAATGAAGTAAAGGCATCGGTAGCATCTACTGTGCTAAAGAATAAATGGAATTTACAACTGTAGGTAATACTTAAGCACTTTAAGACAAATATGAATGCATCATAAATTTCTAACTAGGAAAATATTTTCAATGAGATCTCAAGAAATGTTAACTATTTTTCAGAATAAAGCACTGAAAACTGACTCACCAACATATCAAACTGGGTTTCTTCATCTTCTTCTCTTTTTCTCTTCTTATCTTTCCTCTTTTTCTTCTTACTACAGGACATAATTTATATAGATGAGTTTAGGTATATCGATTTGTGTGATAAACAAATATCGTAAGATTGAAACTTGGAAGTCTTTTAAGCTGTTTCATTTATAAATTATTGATTTAGGAAGACTTACATTGCTATACCCTCTTAAATACAGTACTGAGAAGTTGCTTCAGGCTTTGTACATATCATGTTAAAGTTCAAAGCAGATTGTAGAGCCACACTGCCAGATTTTAAATCCTGGTTCTGTCATTTCTTAGCTCTGTGATTTTTGGAAAAGGTACTGAATCTCTCTGTGAGTCAGTTTCCCCACTTAAAAAATTAGGATAATAACTTAACTCTTAAGGCTATTGTGAGGATTAAGAGGTAATATGTATCCTCACACATTGCTGGTGGAAATGTAAAATGATGCAGCATCTACAGTAAACAGTTTGGGGTTCCTCAAAAAGTTAAAGAGTTACCATATGACCCAGCAATTTTACTCCTATGTATACCCAAGGGAAATGAAAACATACACCCACAAAAATACTTACATAAGAATATTCACACTAGCATTAGTCACAATAGTCAAAAAGGGGAAACAACCTAAATGTTCATCAACTGATGAATGGATGAACAAAATGCTACATCCATACAATGGAATACTATGCAGTCATAAAAAGGAACAAGTGCTACAACAATGATGGACCTCAAGAATGTTATAAGTGAAAGAAGCCAGATACAAAAGGCCACATGTTGCATGATTTCTTAGGAAATATTCAGAATAGGCAATTTCACATAGATAGCAGACTAGTGGTTGCCAAGGACTAGGAGAGGGGGAGGATGGGATGTGACTGCTTTAATGGGTAGGAAGAGATTCTTCTGAGATGATGAAAATGCTGAGCAACTAGACAGTAGTGAACCTCTTGAATATATACTAAAAACCACTGACTGTACAAAAGGGTGAATTTTATAATTATGAATTACATCGCAATAAAAAAAAACCCCAAGAGCGATTTGAAAAAAGTTAACGTGCAAAGTGCCTACAACAATTTCTTGGTGCATTGAAAGTGCTATATAAGCATTAATTATGATTATTACGATAATCTTAAGACACTCTTGTCTGCATTTTCATCATAAAGTTTTCAGAAGATAACTCACCACTCCTCACAGGAAATTCACAGGGTAAAAATCTCACATTCATTCAGGATATATCTGCCGTTTATTCTGGCATCTTCATGAGGCCAGACTCCTCGAGAGGGTTCTCAAGGGCAGTGGCTTCAGCTCACTCCTTGATATTTTCTTTCCATCTCGCCGAACAATATCAAAACCTTTGTTTATCACGGAGACCAGGAGGAAATGCTCAATATTTGTATGTATAGTCAACCTCAGGCAAATCTGCCAGTTAAAAAAGAAGCAGGGATATGAATGCACAGGTATTTTTCTCCTAAAGAGCTAACAAATTACCACTACGACCTCCTCCTCACATTTGGCTCAATTTATTTACTGCATATATGTTCTCTCATTTAATCCTCACAGTCTTCTAAAGGTATAAAAAATGGTCTGAAAGTATAAATGTGTAAACGGAGGTTCAAAGATATTTGATCTCTTAATGAGTAAATGGAAGTTCAGATATATTAACCAATTTGCCACAAATTACAAAATTAGTAAATGACAGAGTGCAGGTTCCAGCCCATATCCCTATCAAAGCCCATATACACCTCAACCACTGTGTGATTCATCCTGGTTTCACTCTACATATTAGCTTACAAAAAATTAATCAATAATTTTTCCAGGAAGAGACAATGGAGAAAAGAATAATCCCTAATAAAGGAAGTTATTATCATGAACTACGAGATCAGACTAACGCAGACCCACCAGGCAGAGGCCTGGAGAGATGCCTCAGGGGACCGAAACTCGTGGGTACGGGGCCACGGGTCACCCGCCCATCTATCCTGTTTCCAGGGTCGTCCGCGCGGGAGGCTGCCCCTCTCTGCACAGGCGCCAGGAACCGTGGTCCGGCCTCCGTCCAGCCCGGACAGGGGCCAGGGCGAAGCCTGGGAGGCCACAAAGCCGGCTCTCCGTGCCACGGCTTCCACCAGATTCGAGCGGGTGGAGTGCGTCCGAAAAGAACTGAGGAGGCTCCCGCCGGAGCTGCAGGACCCACCTCTTCGCCTTGGTTCCCTTATGCACAAGCTTGGTAGACTTCACATAAGAGTACTCGGCCATGGCTCTGGGAGACTTCTGCGCGGAGAGGCTGAAGCTGGCTCAGAACGATATGTGACCCGGAGCAGCACCACGGCGGGGAGGAACAGAAGTGGAGGCGAAGTCAACACTCCCTGACAGCGTAAGTCTGTCCAGAACCTGCCTTCGTCTTCACCCAAACGCTGAATGCCTGAGATTTCCACTTCCGGGTTTCTGCCGGGGAGCTACGGCGGCCGCAGAGGGCCGAAAGGTGTCCGTACGCAGCTGCTCCCTGGCGACCTCCCAAGGAGCCCCTGAGGATTCGTGCCTCCCAGAGGTGGGGAAAGCCCTCCCGAGGCGGGGGTGCTGACGGTGGCGGGACTGCCGGGCTCGCTGTGGAACCGCCTCCCGCTAGAGCTGCGGGCTGGCGAAGGTCCCCGCGGGGGCAGGAAGCGTCTCAGGCTTCCCTCGCCGGCCTGCAGCGGCGCGTCTGGAAGCGCTGGCCACTCGTGCCTGGGTCACTCGGGGCTGTGCCTCGCGCGACTGTGTGTGCAGGAAACAAGCAGGAAATACCCTAAAATAGAATGAAGCGCCATGTTGAGGGCCGCGGACGTCGCGAGTGCTGTGGGAATGTGGGCTGAGGTGGAGAGTTACAGGCGCGTGTTACAGGCTCAGGGGTCAGGAAGAAGCCTAATCGTGGAGGCGGCATCTGAGGAGGGTCTTGAACTCTGGGCAGGCTTTTTCCCTATAGAGATGGAGGAAGCTAGCCCTGTCTGATGGAGGAAACAGGGCAGAGGCGTGGAGGGAGTCGTGCAGCGCTGGTGTGAGGAGCCGCGAGCGGGCGAGGCCTGTAAAGCAGAGTGATGGGAACCAGGATAGAGAAGGCAAGTCGGGGTCCAGTGGTCGCTGAAGAATTTGAATGAAATCAGTAAACAGGTGAGAGGGATCCATCGCAAGGGTACGGGATGAAATGAGGAGTAGTCCACGGTGATTCCTCTGCAGCGGTGGGTATTATTAATCGCGTATGTGACACCAAAACGGTGGGTATTATTGATAGCGTATGTGACACCAAAACCACCCCACTCAAGCTGTGACTCTTTCCTTAAAGTAGAAAACAGACCAGTTGGGTTCCAAGCATCCACGAAGATCTTATTAAATTCGTGATCCCTGGTAGCACCACGGAGTCAGGATTGGCTCATCTCAAACCTGACTCAGAAACAAAACCATCTCAATGTGCAGAGATGAGCGTCCTTACCCACTATCATAACATATTTTCTGGTGTTTTCACAGTGCTGCCCTTCCTAATCCCCATTCCATGGCAATCCACATGCCATGATGCCCAGAGGCATTAACAAAGGAGACACACAGGGGCTCCTCACGTTGGCTTTCCATGGTTTTGATGAAAATCTCAGTGTCTTCATCTCATACAATGTGGTTAGTAATAGTACCATTTAGGGTTGAAGAATTAAATGGTACGATTTATATAGGGTGCTTATTATAACCTACATGGAAAATGCCTAGGATATGTTAGCTATGCTCATCACCAACATCGTTATATGATGGTAATAATCAGATAGTCAGGAATGCCGACACCAAAAAAATGGATACATGCTCTGAGGGAATGAATGTGGAGATATCAGAAGGTCAAGAACAAAGCTGTACAACATGTCTGCAGTAAAGGGATAGAGAAAAGAAAGGCTATAAAAGAAGGAATGAAACAGAGTTAGAGTAAAATTATAAAATCAAAGCTAAGGAGAATTTCCAGAAAGGGTAATATCATTTAATATCATAGAAGTTTAGGAGCACAAGATGGAAAAAAGGCCTCTGGGTAACTGACATTGAGGCAGTCTTTAGGGAAGCTCCATTTCTGATAGAGAAGTAGACACAAAGTCAGCTTGAAGCAGGGACTAGGTGAAAAAGCTGTTGGCTGGTCCCATGGGGAAATAAATAAGGGATGGCATATGCCATATTTCTGGATTTCTTTCTTTCTTGCCCAGCCTCTATATATGCATAGAGTTTGGCAAAAACTTACAAAAAATAAAAATGAAACCAATTTCATTTGTAGACTCAAATACAATGCTTTGTGTTAGAATCAAGATGAATTCATGCCTCTCCCTTCTATTGTCACCGTCAGTTTTGAAATTAAACATCAGCTTTTCTTCTTCATTAAAATCATTTTCAACTCCTTCCAGGTGTTGGTGGTTTGGGGGAGTTACATAAGCAGTCAGGTCTTGATGAGTAGAGGAGGAGGGAACAAACACTTTCAGCAAAGGCAGAATTCTGAAATTCTGCCCATATTTTTCTCCAGTAACTTTCCTATGTTTGTGAGGTTATTCAGTCATAAAAATCCTAGTGAAATTTTTTTCAAGCTTGACTAATCGTAATCACTGTGGACGTTTGTTTAAAATGTGTATTCCCAGGCCTCTCACCTGCTGATTCTGATTCAGGAGATCACGGATGGGACTCAGAATACATGTGTTTGACAGGTATCACAAGTGGTTCTTATGGTCAGGCAAATTTGGGAATCTAACCAGGAATTTACGTTTTTATGACTGGCAGCTAGAAAAGATTCCTAGAGTCTTTGTTTTTGAAATTAAAATATTTCTTTTTTACAAGGAAAATTGTATGACTAGATACAACATTTATACATGTGGCACATGTACTATACTGTGTGCTTTTGTCATATTTACGTTAAAGATGTGTAAGAACACTCTGAGAAAAATTATATATTAAATGCAAAGAGGGGTAAGTCAGGGTGGGGGAGAAATGGGAATGGTGTGCTTATTGTTGCTAAAAGGTAGAAAAGTCAGAATGATAGCCATCTAGGGTTGCAAATAGCACATTGTAAGTTGAGGGAGCTTAACAATCATGTCTGAAATCTTCTTTGATATACTGAGTTGTAAACAGTGGCTTTGGACAAGATTTGAGGGAGAAACCAGCTATGCTTTAAAGTGTTCATTTAAAAGGCTTTAATTAAAAGAAAGTCTTTTTATTTACTTGAGCTGATTTAACTTCAGGACTTTAACAAATTACTAGCCCTTAACCTCTTAAAAATTGTCTTTCATTTCAAATGAAAGTTTAAGATGGCCTTTATGTTGGATTGGTATACTTGTGCGAAGACTTAACAGCAAGGTACTGTACATTTCTGAATGTTTACTTCTTAATTTTGCTGGAAGAAATATACTACTCAATTGATTGTTTTTAAAGCAAAGTAAAACAATTTATTTTGACAAGTGACACTGTATTTTCCCAGTTTTCAGGTGGCAGAGATTAGGCTTAACATCACTAATCATGAGAGAAGTGCAAATCAAAACCAAAACGAGATACTATCCTATACCAGTCAGAATAGCTACTATTAAAAAATCGAAAAACAACAGATCTTGGGAGGCTCTGGAGAAAAGGGAACATTTACACATAATTGGTGCGAATGTAAATTAGTTCAGCCACTGTTGAAAGCAGTTTGGAAATTTCTCAAAGAATTTAAAATAGAATTACCTTTCAAGCCAACAATTCCATTACTGGTATATGACCCAAAGAAAGTCAATTATTCTACCAAAAAGACATATGCACTTGCATGTTCATCGTGGCACTATTCACAATAGCAAAGACATGGAGTCAGCCTAGGTGCCCATCAACAGTGGATTGGATCAATAAAATGTGGTACATCCACACAGTATTATTAGGCCATTCTTGCATTGCTATGAAGAAATACCTGAGACTAGGTAACTTATAAGGAAAAGAGATTTAATTGGCTCATAGCTCTGCAGGCAGTAAAGGAAGCATGGTGACGACATCTGATTGCACCTGTGGAGTCTGCAGGGAGCTTTTCCTCATGATGGAAGGTGGAGAGGGAGTAGGCTTATCACATGGCCAGAGCAGGAGCAAGAGAGAATGGGAGTGGGGGTAAGCAGCACACACCCTTACACAACCAGATCTTGAAAGAATTCGCTATCACAAGGACGGTATCAGATCATGAGAGATCCACCCCCATGACCTAAACATCTCCTACCAGGCCCCACCTCCAACCCTGAGGATTACATTTTACCATGAGATTTATAGGGGCCACCTTCCTAACCATTTCACACACCATGGAATACTATGAAGCCATAAAAATAACAAAATCTTGTCCTTTGAAGCAACATGGATGCAGCTGAAGGCCATTATCCTAAGTAAATTAATGCAGGAATACAAAACGAAATACCACATGATCTCACTTATAAGTGGGAGCTAAACACTGGGTACTTATGGACATAAAGATGGAAAGAATAAACACTGGGACTACTAGAGGGGAGAAGGAGGAAGGCAAGGTTTGACAAACTAACTATTGGGTACTATGCTCATGTATTAATCTGTTCTCACACTGCTATATAGAACTACCCGAGACTGGGTAATTTATAAAGAAAAGAGGTTTAACTGACTCACAGTTCCACAGGCTGTACAGGAAGCATGGCTGGGAGCCTTCAGGAAACTTATAATCATGGCAGAAGGTGAAGGGGGAAGCAAGGCACGTTCTACCATGGCGGCAGGAGAGCAAGTGAGCCAGGGGCGATGTGCCATATGTTTAAACCAACAGATCTCAAGAGAACTCACTTACCATCTAAGAACAGCAAGGGGAAAGTCTGCTCTCATGAGCTAATCACCTCCCACCAGGTCATTCCCCCTACATTGGGAATTATAATTCAACATGAGATTTGGGTGGGGACACAGAGTCAAACCATACCAAATCAGCATCTGGATGATGGGATCATTCATGCCCCAAAACTCAGCATTATGAGATATACCCATGTAACAAACTGGCACATGTACCCCTGAATGTAAAATACAAGTTAAAATTATTTTCAAAATAAATTAATGAATAAATAAATATGATTAAATGAAATTAAAATTTTGAATTAAAAAAATTTGAGAGTGATTTCAGCTTGACAGTTATGTAAGTTATGTAAATGGAAACAGTGAGTTCCATAGGGTTTGGATCAATTGCACTATCTGTACTAAGTTGATGTCCAGTTGTTTGGATGAAAAGAAAAGAGGAGAAACATATAGATCTAACAGGAAAAAAAATGGACAAATTTTTATGATAGCAAAAAGAAGAATGGAGGAAATAGGACTGAGGTTATAGTGATTGATAGATATTAATAGACCACTAAGTCAAAAGCCACTGGTTGCAGAAAATATTGATTAATTTTGTTTTAATCCAATCAGACAACAAAATCTTATAACCTGCCTCTAGAGAAAACCCTTTTAGCCCTGTAATTATCTTTATTCCAAGCACCATTCCATTCATTAAGTAGTGTATAGGGTGATTAATAAGTGAATTATTCACAGAATTAGGACAGAATTTTTGAGTATTTCAGGATATTAATACTATAGTCAATGAACTAAAATAAAATTTGACTAGAGGTGTGATCACCATGAATGCCATGTTGGTATCTTGTTAGATTTGACAACCTAAAGTTGACAAATTTATTAATAAAATAAACGTTCCTTGATGATTTACATTTAGTAAACATGCTCTTTCTTCTTCCTTCCCTTTCTTATTCTTTCATTCATTCCTACAGAGCAGTGACTTTCATTCTAAGATTCCCAGAATCCTAAGAATTCTTGAATGTCATCATAGGGAGCCAGGTGTGAGGATTTCCAAAAGTTTTATTTAATACTTGAAAAATCTCGAAAAGTTATATATTTACACCAGAAAAAGCTATATAGGTTTTAAGTTATATATATATAGTTGAATACTTTTTATTTCTATCCAGAACTAAGTCATTAGAGTTAATAATGTTGATTATTTCATACTGACCTAGTGGGTAGCCTTTATATATCATTGATTACTTATTAGTAAAATAAGAACCCCCCCAAAGTTACAAAATAAATATATTTTGTGGGGTTTTCTTAAGGCTTTTGAAACATAAAATCAGAGGAGAGGATTAAAAGTAATCCTTGATTGTTAAAAAGGTAGGGAACTACTAACTTAGAAAATTGTATGAAAACAGCAAGATATATACATGGCCCTCAGACCAGCTGCCTGTTTTAATAAAGTTTTATTGGAGCACATCTATGGATCTATGGTGCTTTCCTGCTACAATGGTAGAGTTGAATGGTTGCTATAGAGACCGTATGGTTCACAAAGCCTAAAACATTTATCATCTGGTCCTTTATAGCAAAAGTGAACCCAGTTTTAGAACATTCACTTTACAAATTAAGATACAGTGGATGCTGCCTTAACTGACCTCCACTTAACTGATTTGCAATCAGCACTTTCTGGTACCCCTGTACAACTTATTGACTGATGTCCACTGTAAACTGAAAGCCTTTGAGCTACTTTTAATACCTGTACATTTATCCTTCCATCACAGACATTGTATAGTTTCTAAGAGGAAGCTGTGTTGATTCCTAAATATGTTTACACCATTTGTTCTTGTTCTTGTAGCTATGCGATTTAATTAAATATTATGTTGAGACGCTGAGATGGGCGGATCACTAGGTCAGGAGATCGAGACCATCCTGGCTAACTCGGTGAAACCCCGTCTCCACTGAAAATACAAAAAAATTCGCTGTGCGTGGTGGCGGGTGCCTGTACACCCAGCTACTGGGGAGGCTGAGGGGGGAGAATGGCATGAACCCGGGAAGCGGAGCTTGCAGTGCGCAGAGATCGCACCACTGCACTCTAGCCTGGGTGACAGAGTGAGACTCTGTCTCTAAATAAATAAATAAAAAAATAAATAAATATTATGTAAACTGAGAAAATGAGTATAACAAGAGTAGTATTGTTGTTTCTTTGAGAAATAAACTAAATGTGTTGAAAAAATGAGAAACTCAAACAGTTGCTGTCAGCTTAACTGTTGGCAAGACAACTAGAAACAAATGGGAAAAATTGTGTAATCTAGGATTTCAGATTGCTTTACCCCAGTTGTCTTCACAGAAAGTGAACAAGAAATCCATGACAACATATCATTGCCATAGTTTCCACAAGAAACTCCACTCTGAATCCGTGCAAGGCTTTGACCTTGTCATCAAAATTCTGGCAAATTTATTTACACATGTCTTTTAAATTAAAGTTAAGTTTTAAGGACTTACATCTAATACTTCTTATGATTCCTCCATCTAACTTAAATTTGTGATTAATCTGTTTATTACTGGTCCCAATCTGATTGAATAAGGGGGTTTCTACCGTTTTTGCTAACCAAAAGTTTAATTTGATGAAGATGGAATTATAAATACAATAATTCCAGTTTAAAGAATTAGAATGGTAAAGGTTAATACAATTTAGTATGCCTAAAAATCACTTGAAAATCTTACTAACAATGTAAATTCTTGTGCCTTAGGCCTGAGATTTTGATTCTATAGGTCTAGCATGGGACATAGTAATCTGGATTTTTAGGAATGATAAAGGTAAATTGCTTAAAATAGGGTAAATTATGACTTACAATTATAAAATGAACACTTGTCTAAGATTTTTAACTCATTTATTTAATGAGGGAGCCAGTAAGATGTTATGCTAAGTTTTATGGAAAATTAAGAGCCACACAATCTAGGCACTAAGGAACACTGAAATAAATTTGCTTGATAGGTTCAAAACTGACTTCTTGATGGAAGGTGGAAAAAGGAAAATTAATTATACTTCCACCAAAATCAATCATTTGCCTGTCTATAGACAAGAATATTTGCATTACTATCAGTAATCTACAACTAACAGAATTGCAAATAACAAAGAAAACAAAAGGCACAGAGACCCCATAGAAACAGATAACCCAGGTTATTCTAGACAAGGATGAGATTTCCATTAAAGACACTCAGTGGTAATTTCGTTGGTCCATCTTAAAATCTTTCCATTTTCTCCTGAAACAAATTGCTCAAGCAATTCAAATACAATGAATGTGGTCAGTAGGTCACACCTGGAGAAATCATTTTCTAACCTGTAATCAAGACTGTTGAATTACTCCCTTCACTGGAAAGAATAAGATATTACCACATAAATTCGTATTATGATAATGGCCCACCATGAATGCTTTGGTGTTCTTAATTTTCTTAAGATTTATTAATATTTCTGAAGTAATTACTAAATGCCAAGCAATATATTTTCTAATTTAATCTTTCATTGACTTTTACTTTCACTTCAATTGAGCTACTCACTTTCATGGCTATAAACTTAACTTTTCAATAACTTAAAAATTGATTTCTAATGTTATAAACTTTAATGTTCCACTCTGTGACATGCTCTTTCAGACTCTCTCTTCCTTACTGCCAACTCACCTTCTCTTCTATCTCTTCCAGTGCCCCAGTATCTTGACTCTTCCATTTTCTTTTTTCTTTTCTTTTATTAAGTGAATACATGATAATTTCACATGTTGATGGGGTACAATGTGGTATTTTGATACATGACACATTGTTAAAACCTCTCCTCCCTATCTTTCCCAGTCTGGTAACCACTCTTCTACTCTCTAGTAGATCAGTGTTTTTAGATTTCACATATGAATGAGATCATATGATATTTGTCTTACCATGGTTAGCTTATTTCACTTACCACAATGTCGTCTATGCTCATTCATGTTGTCACAAGTGACACGATTTTACTCTTCATTATGGCCAAATGTGCATATGATATAGTTTGGATATTTGTCCTGACCCATATCTCATGTTATATTGTAATCCCCACTGTTAGAGATTGAGCCTGGTAGAGGGTGTTTGGGTCATGGAGGTGGATCCCTCATGGCTTGGTGATATCCACATGATAGTGAACGAGTTCCCAAGCTTCCTGACTAGTCAAGCAGATGTTGGCATTATGCTCCCTGTACAGCCCATGGAACCAGGAGCCAATTATGTCTCTTTTCTTATAAATTATCCAATCTCAGGTATTTCTTTATAGCAATGCAAGAATGGCCAAATACAGCATATATGCCACATTTTCTTTCTCCATTCATTCATTGATGGACACTTAGGTTGATTCTAGGCTATTGTGAATAGTGCTGTAATTAACATGAGAGTCCAGAAATCTCTTTGACATACTGATTTAATATTCTTTGAATATATACCCAGTAGTGGGATTGTTGGATTTTGTGATAAGTCTATTTTTAACGTTTTTGGAAGTTATATTGTTTTCCATAACAATTGCTCTAATTTACATTTCCACCAACAGTTTATGAAAATTCCCCTTTCTTCACATCCTTGCCAGCATTTGTTATTTTTTGACTTTTTCATAAAAAGCATTCTAAGCAGGGTAAGATGATATCTCACTGTGGATTTAACTTGCATTTCTCTGATTATTAGTGATGGTGAGCATTTTTTCATATATCTGTTGGTGATTTTTTTGTCTTATTTGGAGAAATGTCTATTCAGCTGTCTTGACTATTTTCTAATCCAATTTGTATTTTTGCTATTGAGTTGTTTGAGTTTTCTATAAATTTGGGATATTAACCCCTTATGAAGTGAAGAGTTTGCATATATTTTCTCCCATTTTGTAGGTTGTGTTTTCACTCTTGTGATTGTTTCCTATGCAGTGCAGAAGTTTTTATTTGGTGTAATCCCATTTGTTTATTTTTGCTTTTGTTGTGCATGTCTTTTGATGTCTTTTCTAAAAAGTCCTTGCCCAGACCAATGACATATAACATTTTACCTAAGTTTTCTTCTACTAGTTTCATAGTTTGGGGTCTTACATTTAAATATTTAATTTATTTTGAGTTGAGTTTTGTATATGATGAGAGATAGGGGTCTACTTCCATTCTTTTGTATGTGGATATGCACTTTCCCAGCACCATTTGTTGAAAAGACTGTCTTTTCCCAATTGAATGTTTGCACCTTTGTCAAAAATAAGTTGCATGTAATATGAGGTTTTATGCCTGGGTTCTCTATTTTTGTTCCACTGGTCTACATGCCTGTTTTTATGCCAATACCATGCTGTTTTAGTTAAGATAGCTTTGTAATATATTTTGAAATTAGATAGTGTAATACCTCTAGCATTGCTCTTTTTGCTTAAGATTTATTTGGCTATTTGGGGTGTTTTGCAGTTTCACATGAATTTTAAGATTTTTTTAACATCTGTGAAGAATGAAATTGGAAATTTGATAGAGATTATATTGGATTTATAGATTGATTTGCATAGTATGGTCATTTCAACAATATTAATTCTTTTAGTCCATGAACATGGGATATCTTTCTATTTATTTTAATTTTTTAATTGTTTTTATCAATGTTTAATAATTTTCATCTTTCTGTGGCTTAATTTACTTGTAGGTATTTTGTTTTTTTAATAGTTATTTTAAATGGGATTACTTTCTTGATTCCTTTTTCAGATAGTCTGTTATTGGTGTATAGAAATGTTACTGATTTTTTATGTTGCTTTTGTATCCTGAAACCTTATTATATTCATTTACTATTTCTGATTCTCAGTGGTGTATTTAGGGTTTTTTACATATATGATCATGTCATCTGCAAAGAGGGACAATTTGACTTTTTTTTTTCCAATTTGGATGCCTTTATTTCTTTCTCTTACCTAATTGTTCTGACTAGGACTTCCAGTACTATGTTGAAAAAAGTGATTAAAGTGAACATCCTTGCCTTATTCCAGATCCTAGAGGCAAAGCTTTCAAGTTTTCACCATTCAGTATAATGTTGCCTGTGGGTTATCACATATGGTCTTTATTTTATTATGTTCTTTTATAACTAATTTGTTAAAAGGTTTGATCATAAAAGGATATCTAATTTTGTCAAGTGCTTTTTCTGCATCTATTGAAACGATTACATGTTTTTAATCCTTCATTGTTTAATGTGATGTATCACATTTTATTGATTTACATGTATTAGACTATCCTTACCTCCCCAGGTAAATACCATTTGATTATGGTGGATAATCTTTTTAATGTGCTTTTGAAATATCATTGCTAGAACTGCTGGTTTTGAATGTTTGCATCTATGTTTATCAATGATATTGGTCTGGAGTTTTCTTTTATTTGCTGTTCTTGTCTCATTTTGGAATCAGGAAATGCTGTCTTCATAGAATGAGTTTGGAAGAGTTCCCTCCTTTTCATTTTTTGAAATAGTTTGTAAATAATTTGTATAAATTTTTTAAATGTTTTGTAGAATTTGTCAGCGAAAACCACCAAGTTGTGAACTTTTCTTTCTTCCTCTATTTTGTTAGAGACAGAATCTCACTCTATCACTGAGGCTGGCATACAGTGGTGCAGTCATAGCTGACTGCAGCCTCAAACTCCTGGTCTTAAGTGATCCTCCTGCCTCAGCCTCCTGAGTACCAGTACACACCACTATACCTGGGGACTTTTTATTTTTATTTTTAGAGATGGAGTCTCGTTGTGTTGCCCAGGCTAATCTTGAACTCCTGGCCTCTAGTGATTCTCCTGCCTTGGGCTCCTAAACTGTGAGATTACAGGTGTGAGCTACTGTGTGAAGTCTTTTGGATTTTCCTTGACTGAGAGCCTAAATTGCTCCTTCAATTTCATTATTTGTCATTGGTGTGTTCACATTTTCTTTTTCTTCTTTCTTCAATTTTGATAGGTTATAAGTGTCCAGAGCATACGTATTCCTTCTAAGTTTTTCAATTTATTGGCGTATAATTGTTTGTAGTACTTACTCATGATTCCTTATATTTCTCTAGAGTCTATCATAGTATATCCTTTTTCATCTCTGATTTTATGTGAATTTTCTCCTTTTTTCTTTGTATGACAAAACATTTGTCAATTTTACCTTTTCAAAAAAGATTCCTTCATTTAATTAGTCGTTGTATTTTTTGTCTTCATTTTGTATATTTGTGCTCTGATCTTTATATTCTTTTGCTAATTTGGGTCTAGTTTGTTCTTGATTTTATAGTTCCTTGAAATACATTGTTAGACGGTTTATTCATTATCTTTCTTCTTTGTTGATGTAGAAATGTATTGCTATAAACTTCCCTCTAAGGACTGTTTTGCTGTATTTCATAAGTTTTCATATGTTCTGATTTCATTTTTATTTGTCTTCAGACATTTTTAAAATTAATTTTTTTTCATTGACCCATTAGTTGTTTAAGGATATGTTGTTTAATTTGTATGTATTTCACAATTTCTGAAGTTCCTCCTGTTGTTTATTTCTAGCTTTATTCCATATGGTTAAAAAAACACATGATATGATTTGATTTTTTGATAGCTAAGACTTGTTTTGTGGTCTAATATATCTATCATGGACAATATTCCATGTGCAGGTGAAAAGACAGTAAATTATGCAATTGTTGGATGAAATGTTATGTAAATAACTGTTAAATTCTTTTGATCTAGAGTGCAGTTTAAATGTTTCTTTGTTGAGATTCTCTCTCAATGATCTGTTCATTGTGGAAAACCGGATGTCGAGGTTTCTTACTATTATTTTTCAGTTTTTTGTCTCTCCTTTTAGATCTATTAATGTTTGCTTTATAAATTTAGGTTCTCCAATGTTGAGTGCATTATATATTTACAATTATTGTATTCTCTTGTTGTACTGACCCTTTTATTATTACATAATGGCCTTGTTTGTCTGTGTTTACAGTTGTTTTACTTGAAATCTATTTTATTTGATATAAATATAACTACTTCTGCATTCTTTGGTTTCCATTATCATAAAATATATTTTTTCATCTGATCAGTTTCAATTTATGTGTGTATTTACAGGAGATTGGAGTCTCTTGTAGAAAGAATATAGTTAGGTCTTGTTTTTAATCTATTTACCCATTCTCTGTCTTCTTACTGGATAGTTTAATCTATTTCCATTCAAGGTAATTATTGATAGATAAGGACTTGTACTGCCATATACTGTTTTCTTGTTGTCTTTTAGAATTTTTGCACCTTTTTGTCCCTTTGTTGTTTTCCTTTGTAGTTAAGTGATTTTCTCTGTGTGTTTTTGTTTCTTGTTATTTTATTTTTAGTGTATCTAATAAAAATGTTTGCCTTTTGGTTACTATGAGGCATGTGAAGAATATTTTATAGTTTCAATAGGTAATTTTGAATGGATAACAACTTAATTTTGATAATAAGAAATGGGGAAAAGCAAACACTCTGCTCTTTAACTCAATCACTCCCCCACATTTTGCATTTTTGATGTCTTAATTTACATCTTTTATATCACTTATCCCTTAACAAATTATTTTAGTTGTTATTGTTTTTGTTTTGTATTTTAACCTTCTTACTAAAAAAAGTAAGTGGTTTACATTCAATTCTTACTATATTAGAGCATCCTGAATTTGTCTGAATATTTATTTTTACTGCAGATTTATACCTTCCAATTTTTGGTATTACATATTAGTGACCTTTTCTTTCAGTTTGAAGACTGTTCTTTAACATTTCTTTTAAGGCAGGTATGGTTACAATGAATTCCTTCATCTTCTGTTTGTCTTAGAATGTTTTAACCTCTCCTTCATTTCTAAATGAGATCTGTGCTGGATACTGTATTCATGGTTGACAGTTTTTTCTTCAGCACTTGATTCTATTATCCTACTCTCTCCTGGCCCATATTGTTTCTGCTGAGAAGTCTGCTGTCAGGCACATTGGAATTCTCTTATGTGTTATATGCTTCCTTTTTCTTAATGCTTTCAGGACCTACTCTTTGTTTTTGATGTTTGAAAATTTAATTATAATGTGTCTTGTGGTTGTCTTATTCAGATTAAATCAGATTAGTGAGCTTTGGCCATCCTAAACATCTTTATCCTTCTCCAAGTTTAAAAAGTTGTCTGTTATTTCTCTGAATAAGCTTCTAACTCTTTTTCATTCTTAGTTCCACTTTAACACTGTAGATTTGTTTTTTTGATGGTGTCCCATGGATCTCATAAGTTTTCTTTGTTCTCATTTTTTTTCTCTTTTCTACTCTGACAGTGTATTTTCAAAGAGCCTGTCTTTGAGCTCACTGCTTTTTTTCTTCTGCTTGATCAGTTCTGCTCTTGATGCCCTGTAGTGCATTTTTCAGTTTGTTTACTGAACTTTCCACCTCCAGGATTTCCATTTGATTTTTTCCCATTATTTTAAATTCTTTGTTGAATTTCTCATAAATTTCCATATTGTTTCTCTGTACTTTGTTGAAGTGCACAGATTTTTTTTTTTAAAAAAACAGCTATTTGAATTTTTTTGTCTGCCACATCATTCATTTCCATGTCTTTAGGTTCAGTTGCTCACACCTTGTTTTCTCCATTTGGTGAGGCAGTTTTTCCTAGGCTATTCTTATTTTTTGTAGATGTACATCTCTGTCTACACATTGATGAATTAAATATTTATTTCAGTCTTCTCAGTCTGGGTTTGTTTTTGACTGTTTCTCAGTGGGCTTGTTTAGAAATTCTGTGTGGATTTCCATTATATTCCATTTTAGCATTAGGAGGTGCCCAAAGCAAAGGTTAGACATAAGTCTTGCAATGGGGCTTCACCACTGATGCAATGTAACTGGATGGGCCCATGGGTGATCCACAGAGAGGCTGCTGTCTGTAGGGGGAGAACAAGTCAGGCCATCAAATCTGGACAGTCTGTGTATCATGTTTCCCACAGCATGATGCCCATAAACAACCTGTCTGGTATAATATTTCCTCTGGTAGGAATGGCTAGCCACTGCTAAGTTTCATATAGTAAGTATTGCTAACCCAATCCCTTCTCTATGTCCCTAGCATGCCTCTGGTGGTTCAGCTCTGTTGACACTCATGGTGCTTCTTGTGGGCTGATGCAGGAGTGAGTCTACTGTGAAGGCACTCCGTATGGTGGAAAAAATATTCAACTTCTGCTCACGTTATTCAGTGTAAGAACTGTGAGTTCAGGAGGACTTTCTGCATATAATACCATTATGGCCTGGGGGAGGAGTATCACAGTCACAGAGTACTGTTTCCCTTACTGTCCAAGCATGGTTTTACTCCTCTTTGCAGTCCAAAGGGGCTTCATTGACTCACTCATGTATTCAGGGTTCATTAGCTCTTGTAAAGGTAATTTCATATGTGGATAGTTGTTCATATAGGTGTGTCCGTAGGGGTATGATTACTGGAGAGATCTACTCCACTACCTTGCTCTGCCCAAATCCTTCCCCTTCCCAACAAGAGTTTGCCACCTTCTAGTTTTCTTTTTTCTTAACCAAACTAAGTTTAGCCTTTTAATCCTTCACCCTCCTCCACTTCAAATGCCATTGCTTCTTTGTATGCTTATTGTATTTTCAATGCTATATGACTTTCAGCTGGTTATTTACAGTATGTAAGTTTTAATATCCTGTAAAAGGGGGATAATAATGGCATCCATTTGATAGGGATGCTAAAGATACTAAATGACACTGTCCATGTTAAATAACTTTTTGAGATATATTGAGATGTTTCTGTACTTCCTTGTTCTGGCCTTCTTGTTGAACCAGGGGAATCTATTGCCATGAAAATCAATAAAACTGTCATAGTAGAAATTAAAAGTGAGTAGGAACTTATTTAAAAATCATCATTCTCCTTTTCAATGCAAAAATAAGAACTAGAAAATTTTAATAAGGCAATAGTCCGAAGAAATTACTTATGGAAGATAATATGGGTTTTTTAATCTTAAAGGGTTCTTTTATATATTCAAGCTTCGAGATTGGCTGCCTTGAATCCTACTAAAATTTCAGTGTAAGTTTTAGAGAGGGAGGAAAGAGTCAAAGAAAAAATTGCACTGGAAAAAGTTAAATAAGTAAGGAAGATATTATTCAAGCTATTGCAATACTGGAGAGAGTCCAGACCTAGTCTGAACTCAGCTCCCCTGATACAAAAGGCCGTGGAGTTTTTGAAAGTGAGGGTAAGGGGGCGATCATAGGCCACCTGTCTTTACTAACTGTCTTTTTTCAAAGGAAAAATAAACTTTCTTTTATCTTCATGATATAAGGTAATTTTTACAACTTGGAGCAAGATTAGGCTCTTACTCTCTCATGGAGACTGGGAAATAAGGTATTATCTTTCTGGAGGATTACATTTGAAAGGGATGGCTCCCAGATCCTTGAAAAAGGAAGCTTTCTGCTTACAAGTTACACATGCCACTTCTACCTGCATTTCACTGGCTAAACAGGTCAAATGTCTAAATCTGACCCTTCCTTCAATAGGACAGAAATATATAATCTTCTAGGATATAGGGCCACTAGAGCAGGAAGACCAGATAGTGGGAGAATGGTAATATAATCTACCACAATAACCACAGTGAAAACATTAGTAATCCTCAGGGCTAAACCAAGTCTTCTTGGACACTTAGGTTGATTCTAGGCTATTTTCAATAGTGGAATAACAAAAAATAAAGAGAATAGCCCATTTATTTTTTTTGCAGAGAAGCTAGACAATTCACAGTAACTTATGGCCTAGACAATTTTATTTCTTGATCAACACAACTCTTTAAAGATGCCTGTGGTCCAAAAATGTGGATTCCTAATCATCCCCAAAAAGAAGGGATCCTCTGCAAGGCAACCTGGGAGGGAGTTTAGGATTGTTCTGAGGCAGTGAAAGCCATGGAGATTCACATGTAAGAGGGTAGAGAAAGGGAATCCACATGTTTTGATCCCTCCATGTGCTGGATATAACTTGGTCTTCATTACATTGCAACACCTTTGGTGTCAGAGAGAACTGGATTTGAATCCCAGTTCCATCACTCATTATGATTTGATGGTGAATGTGTTTTTAACTCGTCTGAGCCTCAGTTTGCTCATCTATAAATGATGGGATTGTTATGAGACTTGCATAAGGTAAGTGTTTAAAAATCTGGGAATAATCCTGTAATTTAAAAGACGGGGTTGTGATGAGGCTTCAATAAGGTAAGTGTGTAAAAATCTGGACACAATATTACTAATTTTGTAGGTTTTCAATATATAGAGAAGGAGGATTATTTTTATCTCATTTAATTTTTAGAACAAGTTTATAAAATTGGTATTATTCATATTTTTGAGATAATCAAAGGATCAGTAAGTTTAAATAAATCATCATAGTCACAAAGCAGTTCACAATATATTGACTGGATAATTGCTAGTGAAAAGTAGCAATGATGATCACATTGAAAATCTTGTGTTAGGTGGTGGTTTTCTCTTGCATAAGCCTCTTCATTTGTTGAAACCATAGATTCTAAGTTTGCTCTATCAAAGTGATCATTAGAAAAATATAATGTACTTAGTGTATAAATTTTAGAAAATTTCCTTTTTAGTCCTGTTAATTTGATTGAATATGTGCATTTTGAATTATGAATATAAATATGAATATGTATGACATATGAAATATGACTTGACATCAAAGAGTAACCTTAGATCGTGGCAATGTTTTTTTCTGAAAGCACCTGCAGAAATGTATCTTCTTTCTAGTTTCCAAAAAACTCAGAGGCCATGGGGGAAGAGGGGACTTTGGCTGTCAGATAGTGCATGAGGTACATTAGGATGCAGTAATTTCTTCATAATTCATATTCATAATTCACAGTGAGGAAACCTGAAAGTTGCTACCAGTTACCAATAAATGAAAGGTGGGGCGGGGTCACTGGGGGGTGCGGCTTTGTGAGCCAGTGCCTGGACTCCCACATCACAAATGGAAGGGCAGCGCGTGGAAGGAACTCAAGGCCTGATTGGTTCTTCCTAAGCAGGACACATCAGGTTGTCAGGGCAACCGGCCTTCAGTTGGTGGCCTTCAGTGGGTGCCTTAAGTTGGTGGCATTTGGTTGCCTTTCCTGGGGAGAGGGGGCAGGTGCTCAGGTCTGCAGACGTGGGGGCAAGCGAAGGCCCAAGCTGCCTTGAGAAGAACAGAGGTGCCCCATGGGGACCACGATGACCAGTCACATGTGCACCAAAGCCAGCCCCCGGCAGGGCCAGCGCAGGGCTTCTGCGGGGCCGTCCTGTGGCTTTGATATCTATGAGTGGGCGGCCAGCACAGGCACAGGCACCAGCAGAAAGGAGCAGAGACGCCCAGAACATGCTGTCCACCGATGACAGCCCCAAGCGAGGCCAGCTTAGGGTGCGGTGGGCAGAGCCATCCTGCAGCTCCGAGATCCACGAGGTGTAGGTGGGAGTAGGGCCAGGCTCCACTGCGTTGGAGCTCACACAATTTGAGCCCAATTTGATTCCGGAGCCATGACCTGCAGCACATTGGCGACCAGAAGACGTCCAAAGGTAGGGAGGCGACAGATACCGCTTGGCCTCAGGAGCTCCTCTGGCCGTTGCTCAACCAAGGTTCCCCCAGAGACATCCACAGCCTGGGGCTCCTCCCTTCTTCATCTAGTTCCTTTCCTAGGCCCAGGCCCCAAGCCTGAGGACTGGCTCTGCCTGGGGTCTCCATCCCTTCGTCTTTCCCTGTTGCATCCAGCCGGTTTCTTTTCCCCTCCCTACCCATATTCCCAGTTCTGGGCCCTCTTCTTCTTCCTAGAGGCTGGCCAAAAACTAAGTTTTCAAAGTACAAAATGGATGCTACAGATTTCGTTGTTGTAGAGGAAATGTCTGACAGCTCTTGTATTTAAATTTAAGTAGTTCCACTGGGACTCACAGTTTCATAACTTGAGTTCTAGACCAGAGCTCTCTACCCTAAAGCAACAGCAAGGGGTTAGAGGTACTCTTCTTGATTCTAATAATAAAAAATGATTTTTTTGTAGGGACAAGGTCTCACTGTGTTGCCCAAGCTGGTCTCAAAGCCCTGGCCTCAAGTGATTCACCCACCTTGGCCTCCCACACTGCTGGGATGACAGGCAAGAGCCACCACACTTGGTCATTGGAGGTGCTCTTGCTTTGTGTGTTTTGGCTGGTCTTCAGGCGCAGCTGTCTGTAAGATGCTCCTGCAGTATAGTTCTATGTCTTTCTGCACAGATTCAGTGGATCCTGTGATTTTTTTACATGGAATAGCCCCTTTATATTTTGCTGAGAAGCTAGACAATTCACAGTAACCTATGGCCTAGTAAATTTTAATTCTTGATCAACACAACTCTTTATAGATGCTTGTGGTCCAAAAATGCAGATTCCTAATCATCCCCACGAATAAGGGGGCCATTGCAAGGCAACCTGGGAGGGAGTTTAGGATTGCTCTGAGGCAGTGAAAGCTATTGAAATTCCCACATGAGGGGGCAGAAAAGGGAATCCACATGTTTTGATCCCTCCATGTTCTGGGTGTAATTTGGTCCTCGTTAAATTGCACCATTTTTGGCATCAGAGAGAACCAGATTTGAATCCCAGTTCCATCCGTCATTATGATTTAATGGTGAATGTGTTTTTAACTCTTCTGAGGCTCAGTTTGCTGATCTATAAAAGACGTGATTGTTACGAGGCTTCCATAACGTACATGTGTAAAAATCATGGCACAATGCTTGTAATTTAAAAGACAGGGTTGTCAGGAGACTTCTATCAGGTAAGTACGTAAAAACCTGGACACAATGCCTATAATTTTGTAAGTGTTCAATATATGGAGAATGAGGATTATTTTTCTTTCATTTAATTTTTAGAGCAACTTTATAAAATTGGTGATACTCATATATTTGAGATAATCAAGCCAAGGATCAGAAAGACTGAATAAATCAGCATAGTCACAAAGCAGTTCACAATACATTTACTGGATAATTTCTAGTTAAAAGTAGCAATGATGATTACATTGAAAATCTTGTATTATCTGGTGGTTTTCTCTTACATAAGCTTCTTGGAATTTAGTAAGATAAGTTGCAGCTCAAAAAGCAGATCCGTAGAATATTTTGTTCCAGAGATTGTAGTGGGGGCCCAAGTATTGCATGAGTTTTGTTGGGAACAAGGTGGAGGCTGAGAATCTAAGCAAACTTCAGTTGGTGGTTTTCAGTTGGTGGGCAGTGGCAGAAGGAAGAGGAGCTCCATCTGTGCTCTCTCTTCCCCCAGTCACAGCCCTCAGGCTTGTTGCATCCAGGCCCTTCTTACTTAAACAAGACAGGTTGACAGGTTTATTTAGTATTTAGCAGACAAGTCAGCTCAGGGTAGGCGGGTGAGGTGGGGTGTGGGCTGCTAGTACAGTGCTGCCCTTTGACCCAGGGCTGCCCGTGCCCATGGGGCTATTCCATATATTATATATTATATATATATATATATATAATATTTTTATATTTATGTATATAAGCCTGTTGGTTTGTTAAAACCATGGATTCTAAGTTGCTCTATCAACGTGATCATTAGAAAAATGTGATGTACTTAGTGTGTAAATTTTAGAACATTTCTTCTGTTAGTCTTGTTAATACTCAATTCTTTTCTAAAACACCTAGCGCATATCTCCATAGGTTTTAATCGAATTATATTATAATTTGGATTTTCTGGTCTGCCTATCTTCCAAATAATAAAGTTCTTAAAATTAATTTTCTATTTCTGCCATAACAAATTACCACAATTTTGTGGCTTAAATCAAAGACTTACGACCCTATAGTTCTGTAGGGCAAACCTCTGACCGTGGTCTTACTGGGCTTAAGTCAAGGTGTTGTCAGGGCTGTATTGCTTTCTGGAGGCTCTAGAGAGAATCCATGTCCTTTTCCAACTTTTAGATGCTGTCCCTATTCCTTGGATCATGGGACAATCCCTCCATCTTCAAAGCCAGTAATGTCGGATGTCTGTGACCGTTGTTCTGTAGTCATATCACCTTCTGACTGTAGCTAGGAAAGATTCTCTGATTTTGTAGACACATGCAATTAGATTGGCCCCCAAGATAATCAAGGATAATCCCCCTAACTTAAGGGTTAATCACATCTCCAAAGTCCCTCTTGCCCCATGTAAAGTAATATGGTCACAGATTCCAGGGACTAGAACATCTTTATGGGGTCATTATTTTGACTGTCACAAAGGCAAAGTCTTGGACTTCTGCATATCTAGATTTTCTTTGCTTAATTTCAGAGGCTAGAACACATTAGACTCTAAATAAATGTGAATGAGTGATAAATATTATATTTACAGATAGCTGCCACATTACAATTCTGTCCTCCCACTGGTGGTGGAATCTTATGTACTTTTCACCATCTCCATTTTGCATTCAGACTGAACATAGCTATGTTATTCCTTTCACCTGGGTGATTTGAAACCATCTCTCTATTTCTATTTGTAGAGATCTTATCTATCAAGCCCTTCTCAAATGCCACTTCAAAATACTTTTTCTAATCTCCAATTGTCTTAGTCAATTTATGCTCTTAGAACAAAATAACACAGACTAGGCAATTTATGAAAACCAGACGTT
This sequence comes from Homo sapiens, assembly GCF_000001405.40. Lineage (NCBI taxonomy): Eukaryota > Metazoa > Chordata > Mammalia > Primates > Hominidae > Homo > Homo sapiens. The sequence goes on along the minus strand of NC_000022.11, from coordinate 12,581,398 downwards.
TATCTGTCACAGTACTGGAGACTAGGAAGTCCAAGATCAAGGCGTTGGCAGGTCTGATGTCTGGTAAGGGCTGTTCTCTCCGTTCAAGATGGTGTCTTGATGCTGCATCTTCCAGAGACAAGGAACACTGTTTCCTCACATGGTGGAAGGCGGGAGAGCAAGAGGAATAAACTCCCTCCATGGAGCTCTTTCATGAGGGCTCCTAAACCCATTCCTGTGGTAGGAGTCCTGATGGTCTCATCACTTCCTGTAGGCTCCACCTCAACACTGTCACATTGTCAACGCTGAATCTTGGAGGAGGCACAGTGAAACCACAGCACCAATCAAGTATGATCTTTCTCCCCTCATGTGTTTAGACCTCCCATGCACTTTTATACGTTGTGTTTCATGGTTTCTTCCTGTACAAATAAGGTGCTATAAATGGATAGCTATAGTTTTGGGTTTCATTTCAACAAAACACCCTTCCTAGTTGTTTGAACCCCAAGAGAAATATGAGGACAGGCCCCACCTTCCATTACAAAAGCTGAAAGGGAGTGCATGATCCTTTTTCCAGTTTCTTGGCCATTCACGTGTGGGCACATATCTAGGCCCAGCCAACTGATGGCTCTTTATTAGAACTTGGAACCCGATGAAATGATGCAAAAGACCTGAAAGAATCAGAGATGATTCTGAGAAATTGAGCAGAGATGCAGGTCCAGGAACGTGGCAGCAAGTGCCTAAGTTCAGCAGAGCCCAGCTACATGGTGACAAGTGTCAAATGACAACATTCTAGTGGTGGCATTCCAAGATCTGCTTCCGTCGAATGAACTTGGCTGTGCTGAGTTTCCCTCAGTTCTTACCTTGCTTCTCCAGCATCTTCAATGATTTTGTGAACTATTCAATATCCTTTCATTGAAGTCCTGTTTTGCTTAAGTTGTCTAGAATTTGTTATTTTCAGTGAAAAATATAAACCAATTATCCCCTCACATTAAAACACACTCCTCTTAGGCATCTCCTCTGATCTCACTGGAGAAAACTCTGGACATTATTTGTAATTTGACTCAGAATCATAGGATTAGTTTGGTACTAGTAACAATGGAGATAAGTAACTAACTTTTTGTGAAACTTCTTCCTGGGGTGAAACAAAATCTATTGTGGAAACTCTTTCCAATTATCTCTGGAAATTTATTAAGTGACCTAGTATATAATGATAATTTACCATGATATTTGATAAAATAATTTTGTGTGTTCAGAATAATTTCTTTTTTCTTTACCTTTGAAAATAATGCATTGATAGTTAATTTTCTCCTAAATTGTCTGTTTTTATTTCCATAAAAGGTATTTATTGAATGTCTCCTTACTTTTAATATAACTAGGCATTGTGTGATCAAAGTAAAATAAATATGTTCTTGTTTCTGGAATTACTAAAGCTTTGAAAATGGACTTATCGACCTCAAACCAATGGGACATATTCCTATGTGGCCTGCTCCCCTGTTAGGGTTCCCAGGGTAAGTGGTGATTCCTTTTTTGTCTTTTTAAAGATTTTAGAAATGCAGTTTCTTCTGTGGGCCACTAGGCGGAGTACTTCAGAGCAGGGTTTGTGGGAGTACAAAGCTAACTTCTGCTGCTTTTGCTTGATGCTTCTGCAGCTTCCTTGACTACTGTGGATGATAAGTAGTTATTTTCTTCCTCTTCTTTATTTTTCCCCCTCACTCTTTGGAGTTAACTTGAAACATTTAGGAAGTTTGTTGATCAACATATACCGTGTTGATGAAAATCTGGGTAAGATAATATGGTAGGACTCCTTTGGTTATAAATAATAGAATTCAAACTCAAACTGGTCTAAGCCAAAAAAAAATATAGGGTGAGGGACATGTGGAAATGATTGATCAAGTATTTAAGAAATGACCTGGGTGGAAGCTACATCAAAGGGTATGAGATTTAGCACATCAGTCCTCAAATTTTTGGTTTTAGGAACACTTTACATTTTTAAAAGTTATTGAGAACCCCAAAGAGCTTTTATTTATTTGGATTATGTCTATCTATATTTATCATAATAAACATTAAAACTGAGAAATTAAAAAAATATGCTTATAAGTTTACGTAAATCACATTTTTATTTAAAATTATCATTTTTAAGCAGTAAAGTTGGTGAGAACAGTGACATTGTTTTATATTTTTAGGTATGTCTTTAATGTCTGGTTTAATAGAAGAAAATTTGTTCTCCTTTCTGCTTCTACATTTAATTTCTTTTGACATCACATGTCAGGTAGCCTCTGGGAAACTCCAATTATACTTGAGAGACATGGAAATTGGAAAAGGTAAACAAAACCTGTGTATTTTTATGAAAAGACATTTGACCTTGCAGAGCCCCTGGAAGGGACTCAGGGACTTCTCAGGGTTCTCTGTCTCATGTGTTCACAGAGTAGAGGGTAAGTCCACAAGAGAAAGCAGTGATTGGGTGTGGGAGGTCTTGCTGAGAGGTGGTAGAGAAGAGGTTGGATGTGGAGAAAGTATGGTCCTTGTTTTCATTTCTTTTCCCTTTCCTTTGACCTCTTGTTGCAGGGATTTCCTCTTTAAATGATCGTATCATAAATTGGAAATAGCATTAATGAACATTCTTTATACTGCCTAATGAAAGCTTTTGTTTTGTCTTTCTGAGTCTTGATACATTTCAAGAAGTCTTCTATCTCATTTATTGTTCCCACCCAAATTTGGAATTTAGGAAGAGTCGATATAGCTATATTTAGATGATTTATCTCTCTGAAGACATTTTGGGATCATTTATAAATCTCTGTAAACAATGCTCTGATGTCCCTTTATTTTGTTTAGAGACTGGGTCTTGCCGTGTTGTCTGGAGTGGAGTGGCTAGATCGTAGTTCACAATACACAATACAATCAAACTCCTGGGCTCAATGTGATCCTGCCACTCAGCCTCCACAGTAGCTAGATCTGCAGGTGTGTGCCAGCACGCCTAGCTTTTAATTACTATTATTATTTTTGTAGAAATGGGGGTTTCATTATGCTGCTCAGGCTGGTCTTCCAACTCCTGGCCTCAAGCAATCCTCCTGCCTTCCGCCGTCTGAGGAGCTGAGATTACATGTGTAAGCCACCATGCTGGTCCTGATGTCATTTAAATACAAACATGATACTATATTCCTTGTAGAAAGTGCCACATAAATATAATTTTTTTGAAATAGGGTCTTGCTGTGTCACCCAGGCTGGAATGCAGTCGTATGATCACAGTCACTGCAGCCTTGACCTCCTGGGCTTAAGCGATCCTCCCACCTCAGCCTTCCAAGTAGCTGGGACCTGAGGTATGAGCCACCAAGCCCAGCAAATTTTTCAATTTTTGGTAAAGATGGGCGTATCACTGTGTTGCCCAGGCTGGTCTTGAACACTTGGGCTCAAGTTACCCTCCACCCAAGTCTCCCAAAGTGCTTAGATTACAGGCCTGAACCACTGCACTGGGTCCTAAAAATTCATTCACTTTCTTTGTTTGTCCACAAGGTGCTGCTGTTTCCTTTCTAAGAACATGAGACAGCTCACTCAAGAACATCAAGAACATGACATTCTCTAAAAAAAGCCACAGTAGTTCCTTTTCCATAACTATTAAGTTTTCAAGGTGTTATCAGGTTTATTTCATAGAAAGAATGTGTAAAATTTTTCATGTAGAAACATAATCTTTTAGCAATGAGTTAGTTAAAAAAATTTGGCATTGTCAGAATGAAGATTTCCTTTTCCCTATAATTTTATTTATTATAATTATATTTTTAATGATTTCAATTGCTTTATAAAAACTCATTACATTATATACCCAATGACTGTGAAATCGTCTGCTTTGAAGCACAGTGAAATAATCAATCAGCATACTGGGTCTAACACAGTTCCTTCCATTTTAAGAAAGCTATTTACACTCCAATTTGCAAGTTGGACTTTACAAAAATTAAAGCATTTATAAAATATACTAACTATGATTGTTTTAAAAAGTAACGGTTTTTTATGGTAAGGAAATAAATTGAAGCTCTGTGTTGGAAAATGCAGAAAACAAATCAGCATTCTTTATAAATAGATTTTACTGCTGGTTTAGAAATTACCTAATGTGCTTTATAGAAGATGGAAAACGAAATCAGCTGCAGTTAGCAGTGTGCATACATCGTATTTGCTGTGTCACTTTCAGAAAGGTTATGGAATATTGGCAGGTCAGGATTCTCAAAATGATAAGTTCTAAGAAGAGTCTAAATAAATGAAAAAGAATTTTAAAAGCAAACCTAGTTGTTTAATATAAACATGGACGAGTTATGGGGAAATCCTGGACTGAGAGCTAACAGATCTATGTTCTGACTTTTACTAAGTCATTGGCTGCTACAGCAGGCCAAGCAGACATAACTGCCAAGGCTGCCTGGGAGTGGGGTTGATTGGCAATTGGCACAGGGAGAGAGGACAATTGCCAGAGTAATGGCCAAATATTCAGGGTTTCATGTTCAGTGAAGCAGGAGAGCATTTGTATCACAAGGACAAAACTGACGCTAGAATCTGGGCCTCCTGGCTGAATCTGAGTCCACAGTTTGATGAGTAGGATGAAGTAGTCTCAGAAATTCAAGCCAGCCAGAACCCATGAAGTGTGCTCTGCAGATATTGGCTGGCGAGCTGCATTAAGATGTTTCATTCCATTGAGCAAACATTCCTTGATTGGTTAGGTTAGCATCCCACAAGAGCAGAGACAAATTCTTCAGAATTTGTCCTTGAAGCTATAGTCCCAGAGCTTATATTTCAAGGGAGGAAACAGCATCTCAGGATGGTAGGTGATTACGGCTAAACCGAATTCTGAAAATAAAAGGAACCCTATGTCTTTGTCTGCTCAGGCTGCTGCTACAAACAACTGTAGACTGAGTGGCTTAAACAGCATATACTTGTTTCTCACAGTTGTGGGAATTCAAAGATTAAAATCTGGGCCAGCAGAGCCAGTGTCTGGTGAAGGCCCTCTTACTGGTTTGCAGGTGTTCTTGTTTTATCTTCACATGGCTGAGAGAAGAGGGCTCTAGTCTCCTACTCTTCTTATTAGGATGCTAACCCCATTGTGGGGACTCCATCCTCATCAAAACCAAATTACTTCCCAAAGGTCCTCCTTCTAATGCCATTCTATTGTTAGAGTTTCAACTTGTGCATTTGTTGAAGGAAACATGCAGTGCACAGCATCTAATCTAATCAAATCAGTTGTCCCTTGAATAAAATTCTAGCTCCTATAACAAGACTTAAAATTATGACTTGGTTGTTGACAAAACTGTCTATCTGGATTTGCTAGAAATCAAACGTACTTGAATATTTCCTCTAAAGATTTTCTCATTCCTACCCTATTGTGTATATTTACATAATTCTTAAATAATTACATATACAAGGCTTCTATTAGCTCTGACAAGAGCTTCTATTAACTTTGACTATTGCAAGCAGCTTTATAGCACTGTAGGTAAAAGCATGTGCTTTGAAATCATAAAATAAATTTATTAAATGCTAAGGACTTTATATTCACTGTTTAATTTTATCATCTTAATAACCTTCATTATTACCTCCATTAAATCCTATTTGTTGGCTACTTACATTATTCTGATTTTGCAAATATAAATTTGAGAGGCTTTCCCAATGTCACATAAGTTAATAACTGGCATAGCTGGGGTTTGAATTAAAGTCTACCGGATTCCAAGATCTATTTACCATTGTTCTACAATATGTACTTTTTAGGTCCCTGAGAATGCTAACAGCTTTTCTTTTGAAATCTGCCTTCTTTCTGGATAGCAGCTTTATTAATATGTGATTATGGCACCATATTTCAGGCAACAAATTCTTTGAAATCTTTCATTTCCATAGTGAGATAAGGATCAGTTATGTGGCATTGTCAGCCAGAAAACATCATTTAGAGACTATCTTGTACAAGAAGTAGAAGACACAGCTGGGGGCCTGCGGAGGACAGAAAGCTCACAGCTTCTGTCCATACCCCTTTCACTTCCTCCTCAAGGAGATGGACCTCTGTGGTTGGTCAAGCTTAAGGATCTTTTATGGGCCACAGCTAATGGTGAAATCTTCCTAACTCTAGGTGAAGATTAATGGGCAAGTTGGAGAGTTAAGGTAGCTTGTGGCTGCTCCTTTTAGAAGAAAGTCTGATCATTGCTCTCTTATTTGTGGAACCCCTCTGTTCCCCCAAATGCTTGGTAAGACATGCCTGAAGACCAATCCTGTGTCAGTAGACTTCATATCTACTCTCTTCTACCAATCACACAACTACAGACAAATAAGAAAAATAAAACAAAGCTCAGACACACTCCCCTGGCATGGAGGCCACTCTCCGGCTGGCTGCTTTTCTCTACCCTGGCGCCTCCTGGGAATTTGGCTCTTTCTTAGATCAAAGCGAGACATAGGTTTGGGATTAAAGAGAAGTAGCTGAAAGGAGTCTCTGGCCTGTTTTGGCATTAGACCAAGTAAATAACAGAGTTCTGGCTTAAGCTCAGCTCTGTAGAGCTTTCTCTGTTTGGGGAAAATCTCCGATAGTAATGAAGTGATATTTTACTGTGCTTCGTTTTCTGTACATATATCTCTTTCTTAGTTATGTTGTGAGGAGACTCGTTCTCTGGAAAAATACCATCTTAATCACCTTCATTACCAACTTTATTTTATTTGCAGAGTTAAAGTTTAAATAGACATTCAGGAAACAAGTCTGGTGAGAGAATTATGTTATGAAGTTAATCTTTCAGCATCTGCCTTAGGGACATTAATTATTTTCCCCCTTGTTTTTCACCAAGCTCCAGGCTTGCAAAAGAATTGTGATGTGGTCTGAGGCAAACTTACTGATTGGCTAGTGGTAAGTTAAACCATAACCTGTAGGACCGCTGGGAACCACTACTTGTCATCGGCCAGAAATCCACTGTTTGGAGGTGTGCGCTGGGAAGGCTATTCATACTTATTGATACATGTTTTGTTCTTGGCACTATGTTAAGTACTGGACACATGCAACAATTTGGAATATCGTTACATTCAACCCTCACAGTAGTCTGATGTATATGTTATTAGTCCCATATTAGAGACGAGTAAACAAGATTAGAGGAAGAGCAGCACACAGCTGGAACCACACAGGCGGCACTGGGATTGGAAGCAGTTCCGTCTCACCCTGGACCATCATTTCCATGCTGTGTCTCCACTAGAGGATCCTTTCTTTGGTTCTTCTAAGTCATTAATCATCAATAATTTATCTCCAAACCGTAGGTTTCACAGGAGGAGATGCTACTTGAAGGTTCATGGCTTAAAATGGAGATGGAATGGTGGAACATGGTGGGAAGCACCGGGAGGGGTTTATTGATAAATTTCAAGTACTTTGTGGGGCTCTGAAAGACTGTCTTCAAATTCTTTGTCCTACTACCTCTTTCATATTAGTTCAAATGTCATATGGGTATATCTTTTGGGTTAAATTAAGGAAAATCTCCATGAAAAGTAAAAAAACAAACAAAAAAACCCCAAAGGAATAGAAAGAGATACTATGAAAAATCCACTCAGATTTCTCAGAGTTTTATTAACTCAAAGAAGACTTGGTCCAGTTGGAAGAAGACAGAATTGATTTTGACACTGTTTAGCAAACCCTTTAGCGTTCAATGCACTCTAGATCATGAGTATAAAGAAGTTCACTTAATAGGTTCACCAAATTAGTTAGTTTGTGTAGTTCAAAGGGAAACAGACACACAGGACTGTGAGGTTTTGACAGGGGTGAAAGGCAAGTCTGGGTCCATTGAGCCCTGGAAGGCCATGAAGGGGCAGGGCAGGAGAAGGATGGTGCTGGGAGCCTAGGGAACTGGCCACTTCTGTGCTGGCTGAAGATCACAAAAATCAACACAGCTTTCTCCAAATGCTGCCCGTGCCTGATGGAATTAAACAGAGCTCTGAGAAAGACAGCACCGGGGCCGAGGATGCGTCCTGAGCTGCCTACAGTCATCAATATCTTGGCCAGTGGCTATGCACTCAGGGGCAATTTGGCTAGCTTTCTTGATCCGCACCAGAAAACTCGCTTTTGAATTGGTTTGGAAAGCTCCAAAAGGGACGTGCTTCATGCTATTGGTATTGCTGTCAAAAAGAAAAGATTCTGCTTTTCATCAGCTGTTGATTTTTGCTCTCTGTATTTCTCTAGCATGTGTTGCTGGTGGCCCTGGTTATGCTAACAAGTAGATAGTGTAGCTGCAGCAGCAGAACAGAAAAGACTCTCCTGGATTCTCAGTTCCAGGCTGGCCTCGGAACAGGCTTAGGGATGTTTCAATGCTTGAATGCAGGTGAGCTGGAGATCTGTGGCAATTCTTTTGACATGAGGCTGGACATTCTTTATAGCTTCCCCAGACACAGGAATTTGCAGAGCTTGAAAAAGAATCACTGGCAGGAGGTTCATTTTCTTTATTGCTACCTCCCCAGCCATAAAACTAAAAGCTTTTTACCTAAATCACGTTAGCCATCTCGTGACAGTAGGAGATCATTTCCTTCAGAGTCTTTCCCGATTGGAGTCTAGTCCTAGGGTGGTTTGAACGGTCCGTTTGAATTTGAAGAGCTTTCTAATTGATGCTTCTCATCCCCTCTCCAACCAGTCTTATTTGGTGTCATCTGCCTTTCCCCTTCCTCCCTACCAAACCTCAGAGTCTTGAAACAAAAATCTTTGTATTGTAAACTTCATCATGTTAATTTCATCACTTCAAATGAAATTTCCCTTGTTTGAGTTTCCTCCAACTGTGTGACTTAGGGCTGTTGAACTCTTTCAAATACACAGGAAAACGGAAACCTCTTTTGCTGTCTATTGATTGTATAATAATACATTTTCAGATGCTAATCACATGCTTTGAGCTTGGTTAATGAATGAAATTCTAAGGATATTCTTATTTGAAAGGTTTACAAATATAATAACTGTCATTATATCTAATTCTGTCTACAATTCTGGTGTGAAATGAGAAGTCAGGAGCCCTGCCATCTACACAGTACATGATTCTACCAGCTATTTCTGTGTTACTTCAAGCAAATCACTTCTTTTCTGCCTTTTCTTTCTTTTTATGTAAAATGTGGATAACTATCTGTCTCACTGAATTCACAGAGTGACTGTATTATGTACAATAAAATTTATTGAAAAGCGTAAAGTTCTATAATTAGGTAGAATGTTACCTGTAATTTATAAGCTTTTTAAATCCTGGGGCAGTGGAGGAAGTATTCCTCTTCCTGTAAAAGGACATCCCTCTAATAGTCTCCCTTCTTTTCCTGACTTTTCACGGATTCTGTTCATTGCTTTTCCATTTGTCATCTGCATCTTCAATCTCTCTCCTTCTTGATGCATTCTGTCAGCATTTAAATATAAATTTTTCATTTAAAATATCTTCTGTTTTGGAGGAACCTTAACTTTGACTCTGTGTGCTTTCTAGCTATCAAGCCATCTCCTCTTTTCTTGGCAAATTTTTCTCAAGGATTTTCCACACTTACTATCTCCTTTTGCTCATTTTCCTTTCACTCTTTATTCAGGTCAGTTTGGCTTTCACTTTCATCAAGCCTATGAAACTGCTTGTGCTAAGGTCACCATATAAGAGTGCTAGGGGCTTCCATCACAAGCTGCCACAGATTGAGTGGTTTATCTTCTCAAGCTCTGAAGACTGGAAATCCAGGATGGAATGTCAGCAGGTTTGCCTTCTTCTGAGAACTGCTGCCTTGCAGATGCCTCCCTTCTTGCTGTGTCCTCAGGCTGTGTTGCCTGTGTCTCAATCTCTTTTTAGATGGACACCTGCCATATTGGCTTAGGGTCCACCCATATGGCTTCATTTGACCTCACTTACCTCTTTGAATGCCTTCTCTAAATCAGTCACTCTGAGGCAGTGGGGATCAGCTCTTCAACATAGGAATCTGGGGGGACACAATTCAGCACCCCCAGAATTGGTGATTCCTAAACATCATGAACACTATTCCTCTTTCTTTCTTTCTCTCCCTTTCTTTCCTTCTTTCCTTCTTCCTTTCTTTCCTTCTTTCCTTCTTTCTTTCTTTCTTTCTTTCTTTCTTTCTTTCTTTCTTCTCTTTCTCTCTTTCTCTCTCTCTTTCTTTCCTCTTTCTTTCTCCCTTCCTTCCTTCCCTCCCTTTCCTAACCTTCCCTCTCTCTCCCTTCTTTCCTTCCCTTTCCTTTCCTTTCCTTTCCTTTCCTTTCCTTTCCCTTCCCTTCCTTTCCTCGCTCTCCTTTCCTTCTTTCCTTTCCTTTCCTCACCCTTCCTTCCTTCCTTCCTTCCTTCCTTCCTTCTCTCTCTTTCTCCTTTTCTTCCTTCTATTTACTTTTGTTTATATAAAATTTATGGGATACGTGTGCAATTTTTTTCCATGCATAGTGGTCAGTTCAAAGCTATTAGGGTATCCATCACCAAAGTGACATATATTGTACATATTATGTAATATATAAGTCCAATGGGGTCTCAGGAACATTCGGTAGAGTAGACCCCTGAACTCTTCCTCTAGCTTGAACTATTTCCTTATCAGCTTCTCCCTGTTTGCCCAAACTTTAAATGTTGAAGTTCCTAAATCCTGGGTCCTCTTCTGTTCTTATTCCATACTAAGCTTGTCCAACCAATGGCCTGTGGGCCACGTGTGGCCCAGGACAGCTTTGAATGCAGCCAAACACAAATTTGTAAACATTCTTCAAGCATTATAAGATATTTTATGATTTTTTTTAGCTCATCCTCTATTGTTAATGTTAGTATATTTTATGTGTGGCCCAAGACAATTCTTCTTATTCGAATGCAGCCAGGGAAGCCAAAAGGTTGGACACCCCTGCCTACACAGACTCTAGACAAGGTTTTATTAATTCCTATGGCTTTAGATACCATTGATATGCATATGGCTCCTACAGACCTCTCCTCCCAAGCTCCAAAACATGTGCACCTGCCATCTTGAAATCTCCACTGGGATTTTCACAGGCATTCCTAAAATCAGAATACAAAACTCTTGAGTTCTGCCCCCACATCTATGCCACTTCCTCAATCATTTCCCTTTTGTTAGTTTATTTCTTCTTCCGCCTTACCATTCTTTATAAAAATCGTCTCCATTTACCCATTGGCTTCTTCCAGAAAGCATCATCATCCTTGATGCTTTCTTCTTCCTGCAACCCCCCCTACCATCACAACTTGCAACCAAGTACTGTTATTTCACTTTCAAAATATGTGCTAAAATTATCCGCTTCTGTCATCCGCATCTTTCAGCTGATCTGCAAACATATACTCCTCTATCCAACTTTTTGCCTCTCCAATACCTTCTCTATGGCACACCCAGAGAGGTTCTTCAAAAATTTGAATTAGATCATGTATCTCCTTCGTTTAAAAATCTTTAATGATTTTCTACCCATGAAATAACTCTGCTAGACTGCAAGCTCTAAAGATGCAAGGACTAGATTTGCCTTATTTGTTTCTGTTTATGCAGAGCCTAGCCTTGCATTTAGTAGGAAGTTAACACATTGATCTAGATCTTGTCCACCTCCTCAGCCTCACCTCTCATGGAAGCACTCATAGACCTCAGTCCAGTTACTCTTTCCTCAGATCCCTGAGCTGGCGTGGTCCAGGGCTGCCTGGGCCGTGATGCATTCACTCCTACTTTGTTGGCTGGTATCTGCTTATATTCTTGCTACTGTAACTGATGTCCAAGGCAGTCACATAGGCATCCCTGGGAGCTTGCTAGAGCTCAGGCACCACCCTAGATCCAATGAATCAGAATCTGTTTGTTGACAAGGTGCCCAGGTGGTTCATATGCACATTCAAGATTACGATGCTTTCTCTAGATCCCAGCCTGAGTATTAGTTCTTTAAAGAGACCTTTCCCAACTGGCCAAATCGTATTAGGTCATGTGATGGATTCACCCACACGGTCTGTGATACAGAAGGGAAAAGGAGTTGAGGCCTATTGATCAGAAGCTGCTCACTTTACAGTTTTACCTAAGGGTGATCCTATCGAAAGTTCTGGATTTTGTAGAGAAGGATACAAAGTAGTGAATAGTTTGATTTGAGAAAATTGAAAATTGCCAGTTTTCTTTGCTTTAACCAATATGTTTGCTCTCCCTCTGAAAATCCCTTGTTACAAGTCCTTAGTTTTAGTTTGCCACATTATGACACGATGGGAATAATGCACAGCAGTGATCCTCAGTTGGTTTGGGTTTTCAATACACAATTGATCCATGGTTGTGGCATGCATTGTAGAATGTCCAGCTAGAACACCTATTCTTTCAATTACTTTCATTACTTTCAATGGCAAAACCACAATTACTTTTGCACTATCCTGATAGCTTTGCTACAAGTCAGTTGTTCAGTTTTTTTTTTTTTGTTGTTGTTGTTTGTTTTTATTTTTGCAAACACTTTAGATACTGCATAGTGGATGGATTAGTTTGTGGTTCCTGGGATCTTCTGTGTTTTGTGTTGAAGCTCAACAATCACATTACTGCAGACCTCCAAAATTTTACAAAAGACTGCATAGTGAGTATTCAGCCGATAAACTAAACCACAGCTTATTACTGTGAGATGAAAGAAAGCACACCAATGAAAAGTAAACACTGTTTAAACGTATCTCAATGAATGTCTAAAGTGTCATACATTTATTATATTCTCTACTTGTAAAATATTTTGTTGTGTGTATTGCCAAGTATTTCAGGATTTTATGGGTATAAAGTATTCTATTAATTTAACTGGAAAACTTGTAGTTATTCAACAAGCAAACTAAAAGTGTTGGCAGAGATGTAATTTTAAAGCACAATTCCACACATTCCTTCAGTATTACAGCTGCTCCTTGTTTGTTTAATAACAGAACTGATGAGTAGTTAATTTGAGAGGAAATCTGGTGCAGGTGTAGTGCTATTTAGATGTCATGGAGGACACATGTGACATCTGCAGCTAGCTATATGGTAAAAGCAAAACAGAAGTTAAAATCAGCCCTGTGTCAAATCTGCATAGTTTTAGGCTTCAGAGAGTTTCTCTGTATGTTGAGGCCGGAAGTTTAGTAGAATTCCAAGGGAATAAGAGAGGAACCAACATTTGTAGATTTTGCCTTCTATGGGGGAACTCATTCAATTATCAGGAGAACTCTTCAATAGGTTTTATTTGCTCCAGTTAACCTAGATGAAAAATTGAGACCCAGAATCCATGCTTTTCTTTCCTGGTTACACATTAGAATCACCAATGTGATATTAAAAACACACACACACACATTGCACAACGATTAGGATGGCTGTTATCAAAAAAGAAAAAACAAAAAAATCAGGGGCCATGCACGCTGGTTCACACCTGTAATCCAAGCCCTTTGGGATCACCTGAGGTCTGGAGTTTGACAGCAGCCAGGCCAACATGGTGAAACCTCATCTGTACCAAAAACAAAACAAAACAAAAAACAACACACACACACACACACAATTAGTCGGGCATGGTGGCACACATGTGTAATCTCAGCTAATTGAGAGGCTGAGGCACGAGAATCGCTTGAACCTGGGAGGCGGAGGTTGCAGTGAGCCGAGATCACGCCACTGCACTCCAGCCTGGAGACAGAAGGAGACTCGGCCTCAAAACAAAACAAAAACACCCAGAAAATAATAAGTGCTGACAAGGATGTGGAAAAATTGTAACTCTTGTGCATTGAGGGTGGGTATGAAAAATAGTACATCGGCTGTGGAAAACATATGGTTCCTCAAGAATTTAGACATAGAATTACCATATGATTCAGTAAGCCCACTCACATCTATAAATCTCTATATCTGTATCTTTATCTACCTATATCTATCTTCAAAAGAATGGAAAGCAGTTACTCAAATAGATACTTGTGCACCTGTGTTCTCTCCCCATCCCCCCCTTTTTTTTTTTAATAAATAGGGTCTCATTCTGTTTCCCAGCCTGGAGTGCAGGGGCTGATTATAGGCATGATCCCCCTGCTGGGGAGCTGTCCACAGGCACGACCCCCTGCTGCGGGGCTGTCCACAGGCACAATCCCCTGCTGCGGGGCCGTCCAGAGGCACAACCTCCCTGCTGAGGGGCTGTCCACAGGCATGACCCCCTGCTGCGGGGCTGTTTACAGGCACGATCCCCCTGCTGCGGGGCTGTCCATGGGCACGATCTCCCTGCTGTGGGGCTGTCCACGGGCAGGATCCCCCTGCTGCGTGGCTGTCCACAGGCATGACCCCCTGCTGGTCAAACTGGGAGTTGTGCCCTGCTTTGTCTCCAAACCAGGCCGGTTCGCCCCTCCTTAGGCAACCTGGTAGTCCCTTACCCCAGGAGGTCACTGTACTAATGTCTAATTTTGTGCAGACATCTGATCAACACAGCACCCTGCAGCCCAGGACTCCTGGGCTCAAGCGATCTTCCTGCCTCAGATGCCTGAGTAGCAGGAACTACAGGCGCATGCCACCACACCTGCCTGCTACACCTGTGTTCATTGCAGCATCACAGCAGCCTTATTTACAGGAACCACAAGGTGGAAACAACCTAAAAAGTCTATTGAGGGACGATGGATAAACAAAATGTGGTATAGACATAAAATGGAATATTAGTGATCTTTAAAAAGGGAGGGAATTCTGATACTTGCTACCACATAGATAAAACTTAAAAACATTATGCTAAGTGAGACGTCAAACACAGACTACGTGATTCCATCTATATGAAGAACCTGGAACAGGAAAATTAATAGAGACACAAAGTAGAATAGAGGTTTTCAGGACTGGCAGGAGGTAGAAATGGGCGGGGTTAGTGTCTAATGGGCACAGAGTTCCTGTCTGGGATGATAGAATGTTTCAGAAATGGATAGTGGTGATGATTGCACAGCATTGTGAATGTAGCTAATGACATTGAATTATTTACCAGAAAACAAAAGCAAAAACAGAAACATTGCTTAAGCTTCCCAGTCAGACAGGTGATGTGCTTGGTGTGAGCTGGGGCCTGAGACCAGGCTGCCCTAGCCAGAGCGGCTTCAAAACCCCTCTTCGTTGTACTTAGGCCTGATTGCTCTGGAGAGCCCCATACGTGAAAGCCAGCTCTGGTTCTATCTCTTCTCACTCCAGTCCTCCCTACCCCCACCATCCCCCAGCTGAGCATTATGAGAAAAGCAAGATGACTATGAGTTTTCTGATTATTTATATGACCAAATAATCTCAGGGACTATTGCTAACCAACCCATGGGATTCCCACTACCTTCATGAGTTTCAGACGAGGTGAAGGTTCCCTAAAATCCTGCCACCTTGTCAGGAACTCAGTTGTCAATAATTTCTTTATTTGTGATACAAGCAGGGATGGGGAAAGAGAAATGAGCAGACTTGGAAGCTTCTCCGAGGCCCTAGAGAAGACCTCTGGGCTCCGAACACCAGACGCCAGGAGAAAGGAGGGTGGTTGATGACTCCCCACTCTTTCTCCAGCCCCTGCTCCTCTGTTTCTCCCCTTCACCCACTGCAGCTTCCTCAGGTCCTGGGTCCCGTGCCATCATCTCTTCGAATGACCTCCTTTCTATCCCTGTTAATAAAGGAGCATCAGCTAAATGAACGTGGTGATTTGCATTCACTTACATTGATTCAGAAATTGTGTTTAATTCCACACAAGAAAAAGAATGTGGATCTTTTTCACTGGGAAAAAAAAAGTCACTATGTATCATCTTAATCATGTTTTCCTGGGATATAATCTATACATGACACCTATTTAAGCCTTCATTGCATCTATGCACGTGGTTTGATTCTTCTCATGTGAAATAGTGTTGGACCACATGAGTTTGGGCCACAGCCCAGGAAAACACAATCCTAAACATCGTAATCCCAAATGTTGAAGTCCCAAAAGATTTAAATCTGTACAGTCTAAAATCCTGAAAATTACAATCCTAAAAAAACAAAATTCGAACATACAATTCTGGAAAAAAATTATTAACACATTCTTTAAAAAGCACTTATTGGGCAGCGCATGGTGGCTCATGCCTTTAATCCCAGCACTTTTGGAGGCTTAGGCGGGTGGATCACAAATTCAAGAGATGGAGACCATCCTGGCTAACACGGTGAAACCCCATCTTTACTAAAAATACAAAAAATTAGCCAGGCATCGTGACGGGTGCCTGTAGTCCCAGTTACTCGGGAGGCTGAGGCAGGAGAATCGCTTGAACCCAGGAGGTGGAGGTTACAGTGAGCCGCGATTGCACCACTGCACTCCAGCCTGGGCGACAGAGTGAGACTCTGTCTAAAAACAACAACAAAAAAGCATTTATTTGTATTTTTAAGATGGAATTTATTTGAGAAACGTATAAAAACACAACAGAACGCTTCCTAGGCCACTTTACACAATCAATAGGCAATAATAACATACATATATTTGCAAGCATAAAACTCAGGTATGCTAACGATAGTCTCACGGGTATAATGGTAATGAGCAGACGAGTTGTACTTGTAAAGAAATGGGTCAAAAAGCAAAATGTATAAAAGCATGGTTGGTAACTGGGTGCACTCAGCTTTATAACTTAGGTCATCTGGAATATTGTGACAGACAACCTAAGTCTTTCGACCAGATTCATCAAAAGCTGGGATGGGTCACCATCTAATATGCATTCAAAGAGCTGAGACCCTGAGGAATTTTCTCTTTCCCAAATGCAAATGTGCAAAAAGGATATCTTCTCATTTATTGAGGAAACTTTAATGTTTTTATGTACATGTACAATGCTTACACACAAAGTCAGTCTTGTGATAATGCACTCTTGTGGAGTTAAATTTGCAAAAAAAATGCATAAGACAAATTAGAACTCTCTAAAAGTCTTTGCAAAATTTATACCTCCAGTATTGGAAATGATACTAAGATGAAATACACAGCATAGCAACTTGTAAAAAATAATGCTGACAATTTAAAATAGTGGAAAAAATGGAAAAAGAAACAACTAAAAAGAAAATTGACACATAAAAAGTATATTACATGGATAGATTATGGGCAATTGCAGAGTTCATCATAGCTGGCTGACTTTCATGATCATTAGCTATATTTTGAAGTCATGCATCACGATGAATAGTTGCCTTTTTTGTTTTTAGGATTTGACTCTCCTCATAAAATACATTCACATTCATTTTCTACGTGACACTGCTCTTTTTGAAATTCTTCTATAATTTGATACACACTGACATGAGTATTTCCTATTACATTTTCCAATCTTCTATGCCATTCTTGTCTATTGTTTTGAGTATGTGGAAATCCATTTTGCAGGCCATCATATACAGACCACTCATTTGGCAGAAACAATACTCTTGATTGAACAGCAACACCGTTGCCTAAATGACTTCTTATACTACCTTGCACATCATTATTTTCAAACCAGTATGTAATATTTCTGTCTTCTTCAGGCAATTATGGTTTTAATTTATCAAAAGCTCCTGGAATTTTATCAGGTGGGAGGAATGCCAATACAGACAAATGACACATTTTTAAACTAAAATTTTCATCCTTGCCAGATAGTCTGGCCAATCCACTCACCTGAATTTTCTGGCAAATGAGCTGGGCTGAATGGAAGATATAAACTTTACTGGTAACAACTTGCATTTCACTTTTAGAAGCCTTGATCACACCTAATTAAAAACTTGTCATTATAGTTTGGGGATCCAATTGAAATCTATTTTCCTCTGCAAAGCCCTCCAAATCTTCAAATAAGCTTTTAAAAAGTTCTTCACTTTTTCCAGTTATTAAACAATAAACATGCAGATTAAATTACAGAATTTTGTAATCCAATGGGGGCATAAACTGTATAAAGTTGATTTAAAAAAGTCACTGGGGACAGTTTTGAAAGTGCCGTTCATCAGCCAAAGTGAAACATGCACCAGTTTTGTTATGTTAAACTTAGTGGTAAATAAACATGTTTACCTTTTTTGACAGTCAAATCCCTAATCAAGAATAGTTCATGATTTAATATGTCTTGTAGCACTGGAGGAAGCTCTGTGCCAGGCGGTGTCTGGCTCAGAAGGCCACTGAATTTTTTGAACTATTTTTATTATCTCACAAAAGGCATTTTGTGAAGGCAAGCATGGTGCTACCTGTAGAGGTGCTTGGTACATGATTACATAATTTGGCAGACAAGATTTTGTGCATTTTTTACTTTCATTTTAACTTCTTCTGTGATATTCAAGACATTCAAAACAGTGACAGCAGATCTTCCTCACCTAGTCCGCTCAGACCCACACACTGATCTCTTCTGAGAAAACCATCACAGACATACCCAAAATAATGCTTTCCCAGCTTTCCAGGGATTCCTTAATCCAGTCAAGTTGACACCTGAAATTAAGCCTGCAAGTCCACCCCTTGCAGATTTGGCACCCATATGGACCTCCTTAAACCATATATAATTTCCAAATAAAAAGAAAACAAAGCAACAGTTGTACCTAACACGATGCAACTAACTTGGTACAACTCTCCTGTGAGTGTGATTTTCTGGATTTTAGATGTTAAGAATTTAGACTTTAGGACTGGGTATGGTGGCTCATGCCTGTATTCCCAGCACTTTGGGAGGCCAAGTCAGGAGGGTCACTTGAGCCCAGGAGTTTGAAATCAGCCGGGGCAATAAAGTGAGACCCCATGATATGGTTTGGCTGTGTCTCCAACCAAATCTCATCTTGAATTGTAGTTCCCATAATCCTCACATATCATGATGGGGACCCAGTGGGAGGTAATTGAATCATGGAGGCAATTACCCCCATGCTGTTCTCATGATAGTGAATGAGTTATCACAAGATCTGATGGTTTTATAAGGAGCTTTTCCCCCTTTGCTTGTGATTCTCCTTCCTGCCACCTCGTGAAGGTGACTTGCTTCCCCTTTGCATTCTACCATGCTTGTAAGTTTCCTGAGTCCTCCCCAGCTATGATGAACTGTGAGTCAATTAAACCTCTTTACTTTATAAATTACCCAAGCTTGGTTATATCTTTATTAGCAGCATGAGAATGGACTGATACAGTAAATGTGTACTGAGGTAGTGGGGCATTGCTATAAGGATACCTAAAAATGTGGAAGTGAATTTGGAACTGGGTAACAGGCAGAGGTTGAACAGTTTGCAGGGTTCGGAAGAAGAGAGAAAAATGTGAGGAAGTTTGGAACTTCCTAGAGACTTGCAGAATGGTTTTGAGGAAAATGCTGATAGTGACATGGACAATGAAGTCCAGGCTGAGGTGGTCTCATATGGAGACGAAGAACTTGTTGGGAACTGGAATAAAGGTGACTCTTGCTATGCAAAGAGACTGATGGCATTTTGCCCCTGCCCTAGAAATCTGTGGAACTTTAAACTTGAGAGACATGGTTTAGGGTATCTGGCAGAATAAATTCCTAAGTAGCAAAGTGTTCAAGAGGAAGCAAAGCATAAAAGTTTTAAAAATTTTGCAGGTTGATGATGAGATAGAAAAGGAAAACCCATTTTCTGGAGAGAAATTCAAGCCAGCTGCAGAAATTTGCATAAGTAACGAGGAGCTAAATATTAATCACCAAGACAATGGGAAAATGTCTTCAGGGAATGTCAGAGACCTTCACAGCAACTCAAACCATCACAGACCAGGAGGCCTAGGAGGAAAAAAAATGGTTTAATGGGCTCGGTGCAGGGACTTGCTGCTCTGTGCAGTCTCAGGACTTGGCGCCCTGTGTCCCAATCATGGCTAAAGGGCCAATGTACAGCTCAGGCCATGGCTTCAGAGGGTACAAGGCCCAAGCCTTGGCAGCTTACATGAGGCGTTGGGCCTGTGGGTGCACAGAAGTCAAGAATTGAGGTTTGGGTATCTACACCTAAATTTCAGAGGATGCATGGAAACGCCTGGGTGTTCAGGCACAAATTTGTGATGGGGACGGAGCCCTCATGGGGAACCTCTGCTAGGGCAGTGAGTGCAGAAGGGAAATGTGGTGTCAGAGCCCCCACAGAGTCCCCACTGGGGCACTGCCTAGTGGAGCTGAGAGAAGAGGGCCACCATCCTCCAGACTCCAGAATGGTAGATACACTGACAGCTTACACTGTATTGCCTGGAAAAGCCACAGACACTCAGCACCAGCCTGTGAAAGCAGCCAGGAGGAGGGCTGTACCCTGCAAAGCAACAGGGGTGGAGCTGCCCAAGGCCATGAGATCCCACCTCTTGCTTCAGCATGACCTGGATGTGAGACATGAAGTCAAAGGAAATCATTTCAGAGCTTCAAGATTTGACTGACCCATTGAATTTTGGACTTGCATGGGGCGTGCAGTCCCTTCATTTTGGCCAATTTCTCCCATTTGGACCAGGTGTATTTACCCAATGCCTATATCCTCATTGTATCTATGAAGTAACTAACTTAATTTTGACTTTACATGCTCATAGGCAGAAGGGCCTTGCCTTGTCTAAGATAAGACTTTGGACTTGGACATTTGGGTTAATGCTGGAATGAGCTAAGACTTTGGGGGACTGTTAGAAAGGCATGATCATGTTTTAAAATGTAAGGACATGAGATTTGGAAGGGGCTGGGGGCAGAATGATATGGTTTGGCTGTGTCCCCACCCAAATCTCACCTTGAAATGTAGTTTCCATAATCCCTACATGTTATGGGAGGAACCCAGTTGGAGGTAATTGAATCATGGGGGTGTTTACCCCCATCCTGTTCTCATGAGAGTGAGTGATACCTGAAGGTTTTATAAGGGGCTTTTCTCCTTTTGCTCAGCACCTCCTGGTACCTTGCTTCTTGTTTGCATTCACCATGATTGTAAGTTTTCTGAAGCCTTCCCAGCCATACTGAACTGAGTCAATTAAACCTCTTTCTTTTATAAATTACCCAGGCTCGTGTATGTTTTTATTGGGAGCATGAGAATGAACCAATTCACTCTGTCTCTATTAAAAAAAAGAGAATTTAGACCTTAGGAATTTTAATCTTTCAGGATTTCAACATTCAGTGTTATGGTGTTTGTGACTGGGTCTTCTGGGATTATGATCCTCACCTGGACTAAACAACCTCGCAGCTCTCTTCAAACTATGATCCTATTCTCCCACTGCCCCGAGTTCAGTCACTTCAACTTGGCTAAGCCTGCCTTTCCTTTCCTATCTGTTTGCTTTCTTCCCTCTGATTAATCCAAAGTAAAATTTGACTTTTTTTTTTCCATTCCAACAACTCCATCTTCTATCACATATCTCCTTTCATGAAGTTGGCCCCTGATAATGTTTCTGTTGACAACAGTATAATATAGACAAGATTGCATATAGTTAAAGTACGTATTTTATTTATTTGGTGGCAGCATTCTGATAAGAAATTAAAACTATTTCTTTTAAAATCAGAATTTAATCACCAGGCAGAGCAAGTAAAGAGAAATAAGTTCCAGAATCTCACATCTGTCAAAAGTAAATGCTGATTTTTATTGAGGACTTCCTTATTTCTGCCACCAGTTGACTCTCATACAGCTTGTTCCCAATAGAATCTAGTGTGGAATTGGCAAATATGGTGTCATACATGCAGCGCTCTCCTGGAGCTGATAATTAAGTACCCAGAAATTTTATGAAGTGTTTGTCAAACCGTCAGTAGAAATATTTACACAGTGGAAATCAGCAAATGCTACAAATCTGGGCTTCCCCCCACCCAACCAATAGGTTTGCTAGCATACAACTTTTATTCATCTTGTAAACGTTCAGAATTTCTATAAATATTCATAGACTCTCCTATACTGAGTGTCTCAGAATAACTTGAAGTTCTTACAATAGCCAGTGAGGCTGAGTGTGAGTTGACCCACCCCAGTCCCTCTCTCTGACCTGTCTCCTGTTAGCCTTCTGACTCCCAGTGTTCTCTACTTCATGCACATAGGCTAGGCACCCTGCTGTTTGCCTGCCTTTTCTTCCTCGAGTGCTCTTCCCCAGATATCTGCATAGCTGGTGCCCTCACCTCCTTGGAATCTTTGTTCAAATGTTATCTTCTCAGTGAGACCTTATCTATATAAGTTTTCTATGATTGCTGGAATAAATTAGCACACCTCTAGTAGCCTAAAAGAACACACACTCTCTCTAGGGGAGAGAGAACACTTTCTTACCTTCTCCAGCTTTTAAAGGATGCCTGCATCCCTTGGCCCCTGGCCCCCTTCCAGGCAGCAACCACATCATTCTGACCCTAGCTGTCACGCTTCTTGCCTCAGACTCTCCTGCCTCCCTCTTTTGCTTTTAAGTCCTCTTGTGATGACATTGGGCCAACATGGGTAATCCAGAATAATCTCCTCATCTCATGATCCATAACTTCATCACATCCATAAGTCCTTTTTGCCATATAGGGATATGGACATGTAAAAAGGCCATTCTTCTGCCTATTACTCCCTCCTTGAGCATTCTAACTACCTTCACATCTACCTGCTCCCAGCATTCCTGAGCTCCCTTCCAAACTTAATTTTTCTCTGTGCCACTTATTACCTTCTGGCATATTATATATTTTACATATTTATTTTATTAATGATCTGTCTTTTCTCACTGGAATATAATTTGCATAGGGTAAACATTTTTGTTTTATATCGTTGACATATTTTCATTAAGTTGAACAGTGCCTTGCTTTTAGTAAGGATTCAAGAAATATATATGTTTTGGCTGAATAAATTAGGTTGAGAAGTTTGGGGGAAAATCCTGGCATGATCCAGAAGACGGTTCCCAGTGATGGGAAAGGGCCATGTGGTGGGGCCTCTACAGGAAGCCGGGATGCTCCAGAGGTCCCCCAGGGCAGAGCTGCTTTGCTTACGTTGAACTCTTTGCCCGAGCTCTGATTTCTAATGTTTTCTTTCATATTTGTTTTTGCTCTGCCTTTTTTTAAATTAATTTCTTTATAGATATGAGGTTTTACTATGTTTCTCAGGCTGGTATCAAACTCATGAGCTCAAGCAATCTTCCCACCTCAGCCTCCCAAAGTGTTATTACTAGAGGTGCAAGCCACCACAGCCGGCCTGCTTTTCTCTTTCTTTGAAATATACTCAAAATGTTTATATTGGTTTCTAACTATAGATCATGAACTCCTGAAGCAAAGTAACCACTTTGTTCTTCATTATTTCTTTCACTCTTCTACTCTGCACGGTGCCAGATATTGGATATGTAGGTGCCAAACATTTGCTTTTCTGATATCTTACATTTTATTTCTTAAAAATCAGCCTAACCATGTTGTAGAGAGGGATGATTTCCTTCCTTTGTTTTGAAAATTTGTGCATGCCCAAAGCTTACATTGTGCGGTTCAATGTTGCTTCAGCTTTTTTTTTTTTTTTTTTTTTCTATTTTTGCCAGACTTCCGAAACTCTTAAAACTTGTTTGTGGTCAGCAAAGCAAAGAACACGCTTTAGCTTTTAAAAAATCTTTAACATGAAAAAAATGCACTGACATTGTTTTCAATGTAACATAGGCTAGAATTTGCCTATGTTTGCACATGCTGAGAATTGTCCCACCCGGCTGATGTGTTCACCTCTTCAGCTTGGACCTTGTTGTGAATTTATTTACAAACACCAATTGCCTTCAAGCCATCCTTTCTGCTGTATGTTTTGTAGCCTTCTATAGTAGACACACAACAGATAATGTGGAGAGAAAGGACATAAGAGGAGGACGGTAATGAGAGACGTTGTCAAGGCAGTAACCTTCTTGGTTTCTTTGAAGAATTTGTTGCCTTTCTACTGAGACAGCAAAGAAGCCTTTTGTTACTGACCGCCTAAAACCACTCAATCTCAGGTGAATGCATCACTTGCCAAGCTGTTGGAATGCTATTTGTGTTTTGTTGCACAATTTTTTGGTTGTTTATTTGGTTGGCTTTTTGGAAGGTAAATTTGGAAAGGGGACCTACACAGAAGTGCTGACCCACCCACATTCCCTTATTATCATTACAGACAAGAAGAAACTAGCAGAGCTAAGAATGGAGTGAAGAAAGGCAGTGTGATAAGCACCAGCAAAGAGTTGAGGGCTGTTGCTCTCTAAATTATTATTTGATTATTTTAAAAGTATGGAAGTTTTCTAGTCACTGAAGAAAGGAGGGGAAAGTGCACTTATTTTTATATGGAGTTACTTAACTACCTCCTAAACACATACGTGGCAATTGTTTTTGCTTGTGCAAAGTATTTTAATTAGCAAGAATTCATATATTGAGATTATAATTAGAGAGCTCAATTTATATATTTGCTATCCTGCTCAAGCCTGACATGGCAAAAAAAAAGTTCACTCCAAAATATATACCTTCAAAATAATAAATACTGGAAAGTTTGCTGTGATAACTATTTTGTACTTTTGTACAAAAAAGCTAAAGAACAAATTATCTAAAGAACAATTTGCTAAACATGAGAAGTTACTCCCTTTGAGTATATACAGGTAAGATAGGAAGAGTGTTCAGACCAGTAAATTATAGTTTATATTGAAGATAATAGTCAGTTGACTCATAACAAATAACCAGCATTCATGATAACATTTCAGCATTTCCAAGGTACCAAGTGTACTGATTTTTAAAAATATATTTTAGAAGGAATTTAGAACTAGTATTTTTAACGAAGACTAGCATCTCTGATGTTGCAACATGTATGTTAAATGGGTGTTACATCTATCCTGCCCTTTAACCCCACCGTTAACAAAGTGGCTAAAAATAACAGCAAGAAAAAATCAGTCTAAGGGAGAAAACCACTAATGCTCTCAATTCTCTCTCTCTCTTTCTCTCTCTCTCTCTCTCTCTCTGTGTGTGTGTGTGTGTGTGTGTGTGTGTGTGTGTGTGTTAAGGGGGATGGCGGGAGGTGGTCTTAACTCTTGAAAGAAATCTTCTTTGTATAGGAAGCATATTTCGGTTTAGGTACAATGATAAGAAAGTTTAATTTTATAATCCATAAGACCAGATACCTTCAGAAATGATTTTTCCTGTGGGATTTCTATGACTGGTATTCTGACTAGTGTGAAATGGCAGAATTGGATGTCTATATCTACACCCATCAAAACCTCAGAGCTTCATGCACTGCTATAACTTTTCTGTTAACTCTGGGTAAATTAGGAGGCTGGTACAAGGAATAATTTTAACTTCAGATTTTACAGTTTGTTTATGTTAAGGGCAGAAAGATCTATTTTTCAATGATCTGTATTTTTAGATATTGACTTTTTCTGGTGCTATTTTATGATTATGGATAAAATATAATTCTTATTAGAAATCTCAACTCCGAATTGAGAATAGATGTTTTGATGCTTGTCCTGCTGTGGCCTGAGACTTGGAATCATGAATTATAAGAGATCTTGCTGTTTATCTACAGATTAGAACACACAAATAAACATCAGCGTAACATCCTCATTAGCATTCTGGTAGTTACATTTACTTATTCCAGAGCCAAATTAATATATGATAAGAAGTGGAATATTTTCTGTTGATATCTAAGGTATTATAACAACAACCTTCCTTAGAAAAGAAACAGTGTATTATGAGTACAGTGGATGCTACAACATTATTTGCCTTCAAGGCATTGCAAAAAACTGGAATCAATTGAATAACCTTCTCAAGCACAAGCCAATAGTGAAATGAAAGTCATTTATCTGTAACAGCAGGCAAGAGCTTCATTGGTACACTCGGAAGGTGTCTCACTAACCCTGCTGAAGTTTTCCTCCATCTGATCAGGGCATAAATGTTTCATTGGCCCAATAACCAAGGTCTTAGAGTTTCACAGTGTTTTCTCTCCAATAGCTAATAGAGGGAGCATTGCTGACATTCTGCCCATGGTTGCCAAGGCTGAAATCAAACGTGCTTTGAATAACACTATAAAAACTTTGAAATTAACCTTTGCCATTGGAACCAACGTTCAACTGTGGGCTCTATACAAAGCCGCTTAAGGTAGGAGGGAGCAAACTTTTCAAGTTGGTTTTAGGTAACAGAAACAGACGTCTTTATTGGATTTGTCTGGAAAAAAAGGAAGGAAAATCCCAACATTATCTGTTCTGGTCCAGAAGTATAAGGCTCAGTCCCGTTTTATTTTTCTCCTTCTCCTTTGGATCCTTTTTCCTTATTCCTGACTCTATACAAGGAGAAAAAGTTCAAGTGCATCTAAAACAGTAATTCTGGGAACTTGCGAACTTATTCCCATGATGCTACTATTGTTTATAAAGCATTTTGAAGATTCTTGTATTCAGAGATAGTGATAAGCCACAAGAGGAAGTCAGTCTTGCTGGTGTACAGCTGCATTTTGGGCCCATATATAGAAGAGCTAACATGGATTTCAGAGTCTCCCAGGTGTTTGAAATCCAGGCTCTGCTCTCAGGACCTGTGAGGTCTTAGGTAAGTTGCTCAATCTCTTTGAGCCTCAGTTTTCTGAGTACAATGGCACATACCTTACAGGACTGTGGTGTGGATGAATTGCGATGATGTGTATGATTCCAGGTCAGGGTCTTCTTTCCTTCCTTCCTTCTTCCCTGCCAGGAGGAAAGCAAGGCATGACAGCAGAGAGGGAAGTGGTGCCCGTGGAGGCCACTTTTGGGCTGGAGCCTGCTCAAGGCACTTTAGTGCTGAGTCATGTGGGGCCCAAGGTAGGGGCAGATAGAAGAGAAGGAGGGCAGTTATCGCCTAATCACAGGGACAGATAGAAGAGAAGGAGGGCAGTTATCGCCTAGTCACAGGGGCAGATATAAGAGAAGGACGGCAGTTATCGCCTAGTCACAGGGGCAGATAGAAGAGAAGGAGGGCAGTTATTGCCTAGTAACAGGGACAGATAGAAGAGAAGGACGGCAGTTATCGCCTAGTCAGGAGTTTAACAATCTCTATTTCCTTTCAAACCTCGTTTGACTTTCATTCCAGTCAAATTCACAGGCAATTAAACTTCCTCCTGCATCTCGGAGCAGGCCTCTGCATCATCATTTCTCCTCTGCAAGTGTATCTTCTTCGGGCACGTGAGAAGGTCTTAGTGCACCTGCGGTATTTAGGGACTTGATCCTCTTTCCTCTTTATTGTCAAAGTTGTGGCTTGCCGAAGTCAGGACAGAGTCTGGTTATGACATGTTAGCAATCGTCACATCTCGTTTTTAAGTAAGTATACTTTTATGCAGTTTGAGCTCTCATTCTTGCCATTTATTAATTTGTTCATTCGTTAACACATTCATTTGTGGAGCATTTGGCCTATAAAAGAGATGAAACCCTTCCTTACCATTAAGGGAGGAGAGAAAACAAAATGCACAGAGACACATGCTTGGTTTTGTATAACTTTGACGGTTTCTAAAATAAAATAAGGTCTAACTTGGAAAATCAAAACCTATCACTGAGATATTTTCATAATCTAAAAAGTCAGTTTCAAAAGAACTTCCAAAATGTTTTAAAAAATGACTATCCTTTAGAATAATGATGTAGCATTCCAAGGTTTTAGTGTTCAACCAGCATTTATTACCACCTGCTGGGTGCCTGAGGCAGGACATTTGTAATGAGAGCCACAAACATGAATTGAAAAACTGCTGCCCATAGGTTCACAGTTCCTGTCAAAGCATAGAGCCCCTTGTAGATAGAGCCCCCTGTATAAGATGCCCTGTGTTCTGGGCGAGAGGATAAACTAGGTCTGCAGATATATCTGTAGGCAGAACAGGGAAGGTGTCACTGAGGAGGTGCTATTTGAGTTAGTTGTGAAAAATGAGTACGGGTTTATGAGGCAGATATGAGAGGCACTTTGTTGAAGTTACAACTCCTACCAGGCACTCATTTGAATTTTCTGTTTCATTTGCTCTTTGGAGGTTGCTTGTTGGTACACTTACATCTTCTATGCCAGTCTTAAAAGAGAGGAGTGTGTGTGTGTGTCTGTGTTCAGTATTTTTAGCAGAGTTTCTTTGTGTTTCCAAGCTTACTTTAGAGCTGAAGCTTGTCAGAGTTCTCATAACAAGTTCGTGATTGAACTAAATTCCAACCTGCCGCCTCTGGCGTTGGAGCCTTACGGCACCTCAATGCATTCATGGGGTGTGCTCTACCCTCTACCTTCGTGATTTATTTAAAGACCAAATCATAATGAATAACATTTCTTAGGCTTAAACCCATAGCAGGGGTAGGAAATAGTTCAAACCTTCTGACTTACATGAACAAATACAATCTTCAAAAACTGCTGTTTTCTAATCTGCATGAATGTACTGAACTCGTTGCCGCCTTCATGTAAATGTGATGTATCAAAAGTGCTTTGTAAACTGTTAAATTCCAATGTTGATATTGTTATAGATATACTTTATTAAATACTGGATAATGATTTTATAAGCTACAGGGTGTTTAACTGTGAAATTATTCTAAAATATGTAGAAAAAATTTGGAATAATCTTCCCATTTTGAACACAATGATTGGTTTTAAAGTTCCCTTGATTTATATGTTTGTATACTGAGGATTCTCAATTGAGTGAACTAGTGTCTTTGCAATATAGTAAGATTTTGGTACAGTTTTTAATCTATCAAGGAAAAGGCTAGATAAGTAGGATCTCATTTGTTTCATGGACCATTATTTGAAGGATGATTTAAGACCATAGGAAATACTGACTCACCTTTTCTAAAAAGACAACTGATTTTCTTATGCTTTTAATTTCAAATTTATCTTGTCTCCTTTTGATTAATTAAAATAACAGTTATGAAAAACCTTAACAGAAAATATTATTTATTGAATCAGAAGAGAAACAGGAAATACTGTGCTTTCTTGAGCCTGTTTCCTATACCCTAATATCATAAGAATTGTTGTTGCTTCTGTAATGTTCAGCTGCAAATTATTTTGCTTGATCAATCAAAATGAATTACCTGAATTTTCTCCTCTTGTTCAAAATGGAGCCACATTCATCCACCTACCCCTAGCCCTAGGACTGTTTCTTTCATTCCGATAGTTTGTGATATCCTTGACTTCACAGCAGAAAGCTGTGAGTCTCCCAAACCCCTTCACTCAGGTCCCGTGGGGCCTGCCCTCTAAAGTCTCTTCAGTCTTCTTTCTTTGTTCATGGCCACCTTGTCGTTTAGACTCTTATCCCTGACTGTAAGAGATCTCTCGGGTCTTCCTGCCTGTGGCCATGCCTAATTTGTACCCTTCCTAAAATGTGATGTGATCATGTCACTGCCTTGCTTAGAAGCCCTGCACTGGCGTCCAACACGTGCAGAATCAAGTGCTTGCTGTTTAACATGGTCTACCCAGTCCTCCAGATTCTGGCTTCCAGTTATTTTCTCAGCCTCAGAAAAGCACCTCGCTCTCCAAACATATCAAATAGCTTGTGCCCTTCTGCCTCCTGCTTACACCTCCATTCCTTCCCCTCTACCTGGATGCTCCTCCCTTCATGCGCCCCCTCGCAGTAAGCTCCCATGGATTCACTGGTTCTTGAGTGTTTTATTGCACTTTGCACCTCCCGTCTCTCACTCCTGACTTCTGTCTGTCTACCTGTCTTGACCGGCCATTTGCACTGCCTCTGGCTTATCTGCCTCATTCTGCTCGACAGTGTTGTTAGCTTCATATCTACTGGTTCTCTCAATTATTTCTCAGCCTCCCCACACCAGGCTCCTTGCCCCGTGTTTATAAGCTGCTATTGGCTTGAGGGTGACTGTGCCTTTCTAATAAAACTATTTTATAGACTGATAGTTACAAGGGTATAGTAGAAAAGAAATGAAACTACCTTTGAGTGTATTTCACCATATCTAGTGATCCATGAATATTTCTTCTTATTATTATCATTATTGTTATTTTTAAATAGACGATCAGGGAAGGCAGAGTCTAGGCCACCAATGTGAACTTGGGCTTTCATCTTTATTAAGATATTTGGGATCTCTGCAAGTATTATGAATTTTAAATGGCATTCAATGATTTGATAAAATAGGAAATTTGTTTTACTCTGAACTGGGTAGCGTTTCAGCAACTGGCTACTGTTTCATTATTTCTATAAATTCAAAATGTAGAAGGAACTTTTACCTTTTAACCATTCTCAACCGTTTTTCTTGGTGCACTCCTGCCTCTGTGATCTCATGAAGCCCAATGGCATTAAATTCCATGTATATGTGCATGGTCCATGAACACATATTTCCAGCTCCTACCTCTCCTCTAAAATTTAGACTCATATCTAATTATCTGCCGATTATCACCACTTGGAAGACTAATAGACAACTCAACTACCACACATCCATAAGGGAATTCTTGATCCTCCACCTTCAACCCCTGGGCCCAACACTCCTCAGTCGTCTCCGTCTCAGTAAATAGCACTTCCAGTGTACCAGCCATTAGGCCAGAAAACTTGTCTTGACCCCTCTTTGTTTCTTACACCTCATATCGGCATACACTGTTGAACTGTATTAAGAATCTGAGCTTCCCTTGCCACACCCATTATGTACACCCTGCTTCACTTTACGTCATTGCTTTCATGGATTATGGAAATAGCCTCCCAACTCCTCTCCCACTTTCTCTTTCTCCCTGTACTTTTTTCTTCACTGAGCAACCAGAGTAAGTCCTTATTTATTTATTTATTTTTTTTTTTTGAGACGGAGTCTCCTCTGTCGCCCAGGCTGGAGTGCAGTGGTGGAATCTGGGTTCACTACAACCTCTAACTCCTGGGTTTAAGTGATTCTCCTGCCTCAGCCTCCCAAGTAGCTGGGACTACAGGCATGCACAACCAAGCCTTGCTAATTTTTGTGTTTTTAATAGAGATGGGGTTTTGCCATGTTGGCCAGGCAGGTCTCAAACTCCTGACCTCAGGTGATCCAGAGTAAGTCTTTTCAAAGCATAAGGCAAATAATGTTTTCATCTGCTTAAAGCCTTCCATGGCTAGGAATGTTTTAAACCATCTTGTCCCCTGACACTTCTCTGATGTCTAGTCCAGTCAGTCTCCCCTCTATTTTTCAATCTTCAAAGACACCAGGCAGTTGTGCTTCTGCCTCAGGGCCTTTGCATGTGTGGTCCCCTTTGCTTGGAATGCTTTCTCATCAGGAATCAGCATAGCTTACTTCCTCTCTTTTATATATTTTTATTTTATTTTATTATTATTATACTATAAGTTTTAGGGTACATGTAAACAACATGCAGGTTTGTTACATATGTATACATGTGCCATGTTGGTGTGCTGCACCCATTAACTCATCATTTAGCATTAGGTATATCTCCTAATGCTATCCCTGCCCCCTTCCCCTAACCCACAACAGTCCATGGTGTGTGATGTTCCCCTTCCTGTATCCATGTGTTCTCATTGTTCAATTCCCACCTATGAGGGAGAACATGCGGTGTTTGGATTTTTGTCCTTGAGCTAGTGTGCTGAGAATGATGGTTTCCAATTTCATCCATGTCCCTACAAAGGACATGAACTCATCATTTTTTATGGCTGCATAGTATTCCATGGTGTATATGTGCCACATTTTCTTAATCCAGTCTATCGTTGTTGGACATTCAGGTTGGATCCAAGTCTTTGCTATTGTGAATAGTGTTGCAATAAACATAAGTGTGCATGTGTCTTTATAGCAGCATGATTTATAGTCCTTTGGGTATATACCCAGTAATGGGATGGCTGGGTCAAATGGTATTTCTAGTTCTAGATCCCTGAGGAATCGCCACACTGACTTCCACAATGGTTGAACTAGTTTACAGTCCCACCAACAGTGTAAAAGTGTTCCTATTTCTCCACATCCTCTCCAGCACCTGTTGTTTCCTGACTTTTTAATGATTGCCATTCTAACTGGTGTGAGATGGTATCTCATTGTGGTTTTGATTTGCATTTCTCTGATGGCCAGTGATGATAAGCATTTTTTCATGTGTTTTTTGGCTGCATAAATGTCTTCTTTTGAGAAGTGTCTGTTCATATCCTTCGCCCACTTTTTGATGGGGTTGTTTGTTTTTTTCTTGTTGATTTGTTTGAGTTCCTTACAGATTCTGGATATTAGCCCTTTGTCAGATGAGTAGGTTGCAAAAATTTTCTCTCATTCTGCAGGTTGCCTGTTCACTCTGATGGTAGTTTCTTTTGCTGTGCAGAAACTCTTTAGTTTAATTAGATCCCATTTGTCAATTTTGTCTTTTGTTGCCATTGTTTTTGGTGTTTTAGACATGAAGTCCTTGCCCATGCCTATGTCCTGAATGGTATTGCCTAGGTTTTCTTCTAGGTTTTTTATGGTTTTAGATCTAATATGTAAGTCTTTAATCCATCTTGAATTGATTTTTGTATAAGGTGTAAGGAAGGGATCCAGTTTCAGCTTTCTACATATGGCTAGCCAGTTTTCCCAGCACCATTTATTAAATAGGGTATCCTTTCCCCATTTCTTGTTTTTCTCAGGTTTGTCAAAGATCAGATAGTTGTAGATATGTGGCATTATTTCTGAGGGTTCTGTTCTGTTCCAGTGTTCTACATCTCTGTTTTGGTACCAGTACAATGCTGCTTTGGTTACTGGGTACTGTAGCCTTGTAGTATAGTTTGAAGTCAGGTAGTGTGATGCCTCCAGCTTTGTTCTTTTGGCTTAGGATTGACTTGGAGATGCCAGCTCTTTTTTGGTTCCAAATGAACTTTAAAGTAGTATTTTTTCAATTCTGTGAAGAAAGCCATTAGTAGCTTGATGAGAATGGCATTGAATCTATAAATTACCTTGGGCAGTATGGACATTTTCATGATATTGATTCTTCCATATTCCTACCCATGAGCATGGAATGTTCTTCCATTTGTTTGTATCTTCTTTTACTTCACTGAGCAGTGGTTTGTATTTCTCCTTGAAGAGTTCCTTCACATCCCTTGTAAGTTGGATTCCTAGGTATTTTATTCTCTTTGAAGTAATTGTGAATGGGAGTTCACTCATGATGTGGCTCTCTGTTTGTCTGTTATTGGTGTATAAGAATGCTTGTGATTTTTGCACATTGATTTTGTATCCTGAGACTTTGCTGAAGTTGCTTATCAGATTAAGGAGATTTTGGATTGAGACGATGGGGTTTTCTAGATATATAATCATGTCGTCTGCAAACAGGGACAATTTGACTTTCTCTTTTCGTAATTGAATACCCTTTATTTCCTTCTCCTGCCTGATTGCCCTGGCCAGAACTTCCAACACTATGTTGAATAGGAGTGGTGAGAGAGGGCATCCCTGTCTTGTGCCAGTTTTCAAAAGGAATGCTTCCTGTTTTTGCCTATTCAGTATGATATTGGCTGTGGGTTTGTCATAGATAGCTCTTATTATTTTGAGATACGTCCCATCAATACCTAATTTATTGAGAGTTTTTAGCATGAAATGTTGTTGAATTTTGTCAAAGGCCTTTTCTGCATCTATTGAGATAATCATGAGGTTTTTGTCTTTGGTTCTGTTTCTATGCTGGATTACATTTATTGATTTGCATATGTTGAACCACTGTTGCATCCCAGAGATGAAGCCCACTTGATCATGATGGATAAGCTTTTTGATATGCTGCTGGATTTGGTTTGCCAGTATTTTATTGAGGATTTTTGCATCAATGTTCATCAAGGATATTGGTCTAAAATTCTCTTTTTTGGTTATGTCTCTGCCAGGCTTTGGTATCAGGATGATGTTGGCCTCATAAAATGAGTTAGGGAGGATTCACTCTTTTTCTATTGATTGGAATAGTTTCAGAAGGAATGGTACTAGCTCCTCCTTGTACCTATGGTAGAATTCGACTGAATCCATCTGGTCCTGGACTTTTTGGTTGGTAAGCTATTGATTATTGCCTCAATTTCAGAGCCTGTTATTGTTCTATTCAGAGATTCAGCTCCTTCCTGGTTTAGTCTTCAGAGGATGTATGTGTCGAGGAATTTATCCATTTGTTCTAGATTTTCTAGTTTCTTTGTGTAGGGCTGTTTAAATTATTCTCTGATGGTAGTTTGTATTTCTGTGGGATCAGGGGAGATATCCCTTTATCATTTTTTATTGCGTCTATTTGATTCTTCTCTCTTTTCTTCTTTATTAGTCTTGCTAGTGGTCTATCAATTTTGTTGATCCTTTCAAAAAACCAGCTCCTGGATTCATTAATTTTTTGAGGGTTTTTTTGTGTTTTTATTTCCTTCAGTTCTGTTCTGATCTTAGTTATTTCTTGCCTTCTGCTAGCTTTTGAATGTGTTTGCTCTTGCTTTTCTAGTTCTTTTAATTGTGATGTTAGGGTGTCAATTTTGGATCTTTCCTGCTTTCTCTTGTGGGCATTTAGTGCTACAAATTTCCCTCTCCACACTGCTTTGAATGTGTCCCAGATATGCTGGTATGTTGTCTCTTTGTTCTCATTGGTTTCAAAGAACATCTTTATTTCTGCCCTCATTTCGTTATGTACCCAGTAATCATTCAGGAGCATGTTGTTCAGTTTCTATGTAGTTGAGTGGTTTTGAGTGAGTTTCTTAATCCTGAGTTCTGGCTTGATTGCACGGTGGTGTGAGAGACAGTTTGTTATAATTTCTGTTCTTTTACATTTGCTGAGGAATGTTTACTTCCAACTATGTACTCAATTTTGTAATAGGTGTGGTGTGGTGCTGAAAAGAATGTATATTCTATTGATTTGAGGTGGAGAGTTTTGTAGATGTCTATCAGGTCCGCTTGGTGCAGAGCTGACTTCAATTCCTGGGTATCCTTGTTAACTTTCTGTCTCATTGATCTGTCTAATGTTGACAGTGGGGTATTAAAATCTCCCATTATTATTGTGTGGGAGTCTAAGTCCCTTTGTATGTCATTAAGGACTTGCTTTATGAATCTGGGTGATCTTGTATTGGGTGCATATATATTTAGGATAGTTAGCTCTTCTTGTTGAATTGATCCTTTACCATTATGTAATGGCCTTCTTTGTCTCCTTTGATCTTTGTTGGTTTAAAGTCTGTTTTATGAGAGAGTAGGATTGCAACCCCTGCCTTTTTTGTTTTCCATTTGCTTGGTCGATCTTCCTCCATCCCTTTATTTTGAGCCTATGTTTGTCTCTGCACATGAGATGGGTTTCCTGAGTGCAGCACACTGATGGGTCTTGACTTTTTATCCAATTTGCCAGTCTGTGCCTTATAATTGGAGCATTTAGCCCATTTACATTTAAGGTTAATATAGTTATGTGTGAATTTGATCCTGTCATTAAGATGTCAGCTGGTTATTTTGCTCGTTAGTTGATGCAGTTTCTTTGTAGCCTCAATGGTCTTTACAATTTGGCATGTTTTTGCAGTGGCTGGTACCAGTTGTTCCTTTCCATGTTTAGCGCTTCTTTAAGGAGCTCTTTTTTTTTTAACATTGTTTTTCTTTTTATTTAAACGAGGTTGACCTTACAAATCAAAGCAATATGAGAGTGATTTTACACTAGCAATATTATTTTTAGTTATTCAGATGAACAAAAAGAACATTCATCCGTTGAAGCTATGATTAAATAATTCTTTATCTATTTAAACTGAATAGTATACACTTGCATTATCCTAATACTTATCAAGCAGAGCAAAAAATAAAACTCACTCTAAACTTAAGTCATATAACTACAGGTTATTTCTCATCTTTGTTTTTGTTTTTTTTAAATTTTTTTATTATTATTATACTTTAAGTTTTAGGGTACATGTGCACAATGTGCAGGTTAGTTACATATGTATACATGTGCCATGCTGCTGCACCGCACCCACTAAGTCGTCATCTAACATTAGATATATCTCCGAATGCTATTCCTCCCCTCTCCCCCCACCCCACAACAGTCCCCAGACTGTGATGTTTCCCTTCCTGTGTCCATGTGTTCTCATTGTTCAATTCCCACCTATGAATGAGATTATGCGGTGTTTGGTTTTCTGTTCTTGCGATAGTTTACTGAGAATGATGATTTCCAATTTCATCCATGTCCCTACAAAGGACATGAACTCATTATTTTTTATGGCTGCATAGTATTCCATGGTGTATATGTGCCATATTTTCTTAATCCTTATCATTTTCTTATCATTGTTGGACATTTGGGTTGGTTCCAAGTCTTTGCTATTGTGAATAATGCTGCAGTAAACATACGTGTGCATGTGTCTTTATAGCAGCATGATTTTAGTCCTTTGGGTATACACCCAATAATCGGATGGCTGGGTCAAATAGTATTTCTTGTTCTAGATCCCTGAGGAATCGCCACACTGACTTCCACAATGGTTGAACTCGTTTACAGTCCAACCAACAGTGTAAAAGTGTTCCTATTTCTCCACATCCTCTCCAGCACCTGTTGTTTCCTGACTTTTTAATGATTGCCATTCTAACTGGTGTGAGATGGTATCTCATTGTGGTTTTGATTTGCATTTCTCTGATGGCCAGTGATGGTGAGCATTTTTTCATGTGTTTTTTGGCTGCATAAATGTCTTCTTTTGAGAAGTGTCTGCTCATGTCCTTCGCCCACTTTTTGATGGGGTTGTTTGTTTTTTTCTTGTTAATTTGTTTGAGTTCATTGTAGATTCTGGATATTAGCCCTTTGTCAGATGAGTAGGTTGTGAAATTTTTCTCCCATTTTGTAGGTGCCTGTTCACTCTGACAGTAGTTTCTTTTGCTATGCAGAAACTCTTTAGTTTAATTAGATCCCATTTGTCAATTTTGGCTTTTGTTGCCATTGCTTTTAGTGTTTTAGACATGAAGTCCTTGCCCATGCCTATGTTCTGAATGGTAATGCCTAGGTTTTCTTCTAGGTTTTTTATGGTTTTAGGTCTAATATGTAAGTCTTTAATCCATCTTGAATTGATTTTTGTATAAGGTGTAAGGAAGCGATCCAATTTCAGCTTTCCACATATGGCTAGCCAGTTTTCCCAGCACCATTTATTAAATAGGGAATCCTTTCCCCATTTCTTGTTTTTCTCAGGTTTGTCAAAGATCAGATAGTTGTAGATATGCGGCATTATTTCTGAGGGCTCTGTTCTGTTCCATTGGTCTATATCTCTGTTTTGGTACCAGTACCATGCTGTTTTGGTTACTGTATCCTTGTAGTATAGTTTGAAGTCAGGTAGTGTGATGCCTCCAGCTTTGTTCTTTTGGCTTAGAATTGACTTGGCGATGCCAGCTCTTTTTTGGTTCCATAGGAACTTTAAAGTAGTTTTTTCCAATTCTGGGAAGAAAGTCATTGGTAGCTTGATGGGGATGACATTCAATCTATCAATTACCTTGGGCAGTATGGCCATTTTCACGATATTGATTCTTCCTATCCATGAGCATGGAATGTTCTTCCATTTGTTTGTATCCTGTTTTATTTCAATGAGCAGTGGTTTGTAGTTCTCCGTGAAGAGGTCCTTCACATCCCTTGTAAGTTGGATTCCTAGGTATTTTATTCTCTTTGAAGACATTGTGAATGGGAGTTCACTCATGATTTGGCTCTCTGTTTTTCTGTTGTTGGTGTATATGAATGCTTGTGATTTTTGTATGTTGATTTTGTATCCTGAGACATTGCTTAATTTGCATATCAGCTTAAGGAGATTTTGGGCTGAGACAATGGGGTTTTCTAGATATACAATCATGTTGTCTGCAAACAGGGACAATTTGACTTCCTCTTTTCATAATTGAATACCCTTTATTTCCTTCTCCTGCCTGATTGCCCTGGCCAGAACTTCCAACACTATGTTGAATAGGAGTGGTGAGAGAGAGCATCCCTGTCTTGTGCCAGTTTTCAAAGGGAATGCTTCCAGTTTCTGCCCATTCAGTATGAATGGGTTTGGCATAGATACCTCTTATTATTTTGAGATACGTCCCATCAATACCTAATTTATTGAGAGTTTTTAGTATGAAGTGTTGTTGAATTTTGTCAAAGGCCTTTTCTTCATCTATTGAGATAATCATGTCGTTTTTGTGTTTGGTTCTGTTTCTATGCTGGATTACATTTATTGATTTGCCTATATTGAACCAGCCTTGCATCCTGAGAATGAAGCCCACTTGATTATGTTGGATAAGCTTTTTGATGTGCTGCTGGATTCGGTTTGTCAGTATGTTATTGAGGATTTTTGCATCAATGTTCATC
Source organism: Homo sapiens (assembly GCF_000001405.40). Lineage (NCBI taxonomy): Eukaryota > Metazoa > Chordata > Mammalia > Primates > Hominidae > Homo > Homo sapiens. The sequence goes on along the minus strand of NC_000022.11, from coordinate 12,543,590 downwards.
GAGTATGTTAGTTTAAAATTCTCTTTTTTGGTTGTGTCTCTGCCAGGCTTTGGTATCAGGATGATGTTGGCCTCATAAAATGGGTTAGGGAGGATTCACTCTTTTTCTATTGATTGGAATAGTTTCAGAAGGAATGGTACCAGTTCCTCCTTGTACCTCCGGTAGAATTCGGCTGTGAATCCATCTGGTCCTGGACTCCTTTCTGTTGGTAAGGTATTGATTATTGCCACAACTTCAGCTCCTGTTTTTGTTGTATTCAGAGATTCAACTTCTTCCTGGTTTAGTCTTGGGAGAGTGTATGTGTCGACTAATTTATCAATTTCTTCTAGATTTTCTAGTTTATTTGCACAGAGGTGTTTGTAGTATTCTCTGATGGTAGTTTGTATTTCTATGGGATTGGTGGTGATATCCCTTTTATCATTGTTTATTGTGTCTATTTGATTGTTCTCTTTTTTTCTTTATTAGTCTTGCTAGTGGTCTATCTTTTTTTGATCCTTTCAAAAAACCAGCTTAAGGAGCTCTTTTAGGGCAGACCTGTTGGAGACAAAATCTCTCACCATTTGCGTGTCTGTAAAGTATTTTATTTCTACTTCATTTATGAAGCTTAGTTTGGCTGGAAATGAAATTCTGGGTTGAAAATTCTTTTCTTTAAGAATGTTGAATATTGGCCCCCAGATGTTAGTCTGATGGGCTTCCCTTTGTGGGTCACCCAACCTTTCTCTCAGGCTGCCCTTAACATTTTTTCATTCATGTCAACTTTGGTGAATCTGACAATTATGTGTCTTGGAGTTGCTATTCTCGAGGAGTACGTTAGTGGACTTCTATGTATTTTCTGAATTTGAATGTTGGCCTGTCTTGCTAGATTGGGGAAGTTCTCCTGGATAATATCCTGCAGAGTGTTTTCCAATTTGGTTCCATTCTACCCGTCACTTTCAGGTACACCAATCAGACATAGATTTGGTCTTTTTACATAGTCCCGTATTTCTTGGAGGCTCTGTTCATTTCTTTTTATTCTTTTTTGCTAAACTTCTCTTCTCTCTTCATTTCATTCCTTTTGTCTTCCATCACTGATACCCTTTCTTCCAGTTGATCGCATCGGCTACTGAGGCTTCTGCATTCATCACGTAGTTCTCATGCCTTGGTTTTCAGCTCCATCAGGTCCTTTAGGGACTTCTCTGCATTGGTTATTCTAGTGACCCATTCATCTATTTTTTTTTCAAAGTTTTTATCTTCTTTGCCATTGGTTCGAATCTCCTCCTGTAGCTCAGAGAAGTTTGATCATCTGAAGCCTTCTTGTCTCCACTCATCGAAGTCATTCTCCATCCAGCTTTGTTCCATTGCTGGTAAGGAGCTGTGTTCCTTTGGAGGCGGAGAGGTGCTCTGAAGTTTAGAGTTTCCAGTTTTTCTGTTCTATTTGTTTCCCATCTTTGTGGTTTTGTCTAACTTGGGCTTTGATGATGGTTATGTACAGATGGGTTTTTGGTGTGAATGTCCTTTCTGTTTATTAGTTTTCCTTCTAACAGTTGGGACCCTCAGCTGCAGGTCTGTTGGAGTTTACTGGAGGTCCATTCCAGACCCTGTTTGCCTGCTTATCAGCAGCGCTCACTGCAGAACAGCGGATATTGGTGAACTGCAGATGCTGCTGCCTGATTGTTCCTCTGGAAATTTTGTCTCAAAAGAGTACCAGGCTGTGTGAGGTTTCAGTCCAACCATACTTGGGGGTGCCTCCCAGTTAGGCTACTCAGGAGTCAGGGACCCACTTGAGGAGGCAGTCTGTCCATTCTCAGATCTCAAGCTGCAAGCTGGGAGAACCACTACACTCTTCAAAGCTGTCAGAGAGGGATATTTAAGTCTGCAGCGGTTACTGCTGTCTTTTTGTATGTCTGTGCCCCGCCCCCAGAGGTGGAGCCTACAGAGGCAGGCAGGCCTCCTTGAGCTGTGGTGGGCTCCACCCAGTTCCCGCTTCCTGGCCACTTTGTTTACGTACTCATGCCTTAGCAATGGCGGGCGTCCCTCCCCCAGCCTCACTGCCACTTTGCAGTTTGATCTTAGACTGCTGTGCTAGCAATGAGTGAGGCTCCGTGGACGTAGGACTCTCTGAGCCAGGTGCAGGATATAATCTCCTGGTGTGACATTTTTTAAGCCTGTTGGAAAAGCACAGTGTTAGGTTGGGAGTGACCCGATTTTCCAGATGCCATCTGTCACCACTTTCTTTGACTAGGAAAGGGAATTCCCTGACCCCTTGCACTTCGCTGGTGAGGCAATGCCTTGCCCTGCTTCGGCTCATGCACGGTGCAGTGCACCCACTGTCTGGCACTCCCCAGTGAGTTGAACCTGGTAACTCAGTTGGAAATGCAGAAATCACCCATCTTCTGCGTCACTCACACTGGGAGCTGTAGAGCGGAGCTGTTCCTATTCGGCCTTCTTGGCTCCTCCCCCCCACATTCATTTTAAGGATAAATAATATTCTGTTGTGTGTATATACCATATTTTCTTCATCTGTTTGACTCTTAGAAGATATCTGGATTTCTTTTTAAATTTTTTACTGTAAATGATGCTGCTATAAAATTTGGTTTGAAAGTATCAGTGCAGAAGTGAATAAAATTTTAAAACCTGAACACATTTCTGCATGCAGTTCTTAGATTGAATAATGGAGTCCAGGCATGGTGGCTCACACTTGTAATCCCAAAACTTTGGGAGGCTGAGGCAGGCAGATCACTTAAGCTCAGGAGTTCGAGACCAGCCATGGAAACATGGCAAAACCCCATCTCTACTAAAAATTCAAAAATTAGCTGGGCATTGTGGTGCTTGCTTGTAGTCCCAGCTATTTGGGAGACTGAGGCACAAGGATCACTTAATTTTCATTTCTCTAACTATCATTGATTCTGAGCTTTTTCTCATACACTTGTTGGCCTCACGTATGTCTTCTTTCGAAAACTGTCCGTTCATGTCTTTGCCCACTTTTTAATGGGGTTGTTTTTCTTTTGTAAATTTAAGTTCCTTATAGATGCTAGATATTAGACCTTTGTTAGATGGATAGTTTACAAATTTTTTTTTCCACTCCATAGGTTTTCTGTTTACTCTGTTAATAGTTTTTTTTCTGCTATGCAAAATCTCTTTACTTTAATTAAATCCTACTTGTTAATTTTTGCTTTTCTTGCTGTTGCTTTTGGTCTTTCTATCATGAAATCTTTGCCCATTCCTATATCCAGGATGGTATTGCCTGGATTGTCTTTCATGGTTTTTATACATAAAGATTTTATATTTAAGTCTTCAATCAGTCTTGAGTTGATTTTTTTTTGTATATGATGTAAATAAGGGGTCCAGCTTCAATCTTCCACATGTTGCCAGCCAATTATTCCAGCACCACTTATTGAATAAATAATCTTTTTCTCATTGCTTGTTTTTGTCAGCCTTGTCAATTATCACATGGCATAGATGTGCAGCCTTGTTTCTGGGCTCTCTATTCTGCTCCATTTGTCTATGTGTCTGTTTTTATCAATATTATGCTGTTTTCGTTACTATAGCCCTGTAGTGTAATTTGAAGCCAGGCAACCTGATGCCTGCAGCTTTGTTCTTTTTTGCTTAGGATTGCCTTGACTATGTGTGCTCCTTTTTGGTTTCATATATATAATTTTTTTTTGATGGAATGTCACTCTGTCATCAGGCTGGAGTGCAGTGGTGCAATCTCAGCTCACTGCAACCTCTGACTACCTGGTTCAATGGATTCTCCTGCCTCAGCCTCCCGAGTAGCTGGGATTACAAGCGCTTGCCACTACACCCAGCTATTAAAAAATTAGTTGAGAAGGAGTTTCACCATGTTGGCCAGGATGGTCTCGATCTCCTGACCTCATGATCTGCAGCCCTCGGCCTCCCAGAGTGCTGGGATTACAGGCGTGAGCCACTGCACCCAGCCTATAGGAATTTTAAAATAGTTTTTTCTAGCTCTGTAAAAAATTTTATTGGCAGTTTGATGGAAATAGCATTAAATCTGTCAATTGCTTTGTGAAGTATAGCCATTTTAGTTATATTGGATCTTCCTATCCATGAGCATGAGGTGGTTTTCCATTTGTTTGTGTCTTCTCTGATTTATTTGAGCAGTGTTTTGTAATTCTCACTGTAGAGCTCTTTCACCTCCGTGGTGAGCTGCATTTCCAGGTATTTTATCATTTTTGTGGCAATTGTGAATGGGATGGCCTTTCTGATTTTGCTGTCAGTGTGGTTATCATTGGTGTAGAGAAATGTTAGTGATCTTTGCACATTGATTTAGTATCTTGAAAATTCGCTGAAGTTGTTTGTTAACTAAAGAAGCTTTGTACCTGAAACTACAGGGTTTTCTAGATATAGAATTATGTTATTTGCAAACAGAAATAGTTTGGCTTTCTCTCTTCCTATTTGGATGCTTTTTGTATTTCTTTCTCTAGCCTGATTGCTCTCGTCAGGACTTTCAATACTATGTTGAATAGAAATGGTGAGAGAGGGCATTCTTGCCTTGTGCTGGTTTTCAGAAAAAAAGCTCCCAACTTTGCCCATTCAACAGATTGTTGGCTGTGGGTTTTTTATACACGGCTTTTATTACTTTCTGCATCTATTGGGATAATCGTCTGTTTTTTGTATTTAGTTCTGTTTATGTGATGTATTACATTTATTGATTTGCACATGCTGGGCCAACCTTGCATCCTAAGGAGGCAGCCTACTTGATAATGACGGATTACCTGTTTGATGTGCTGCTGGATTTGGTTTACAAATATTTTTCTGAGAACTTTTGTATTGATGTTTGTGAAGAATATTGGCCTGAAATTTTCTTTTCTTTCTTTCTTTTTTTTTTTTGATGGAGTCTCCCTCTGTTGCCCAGGCTGGAGTGCACTGGTGCAATCTCTGCTTAATGCAAGCTCCGCCTCCTGGGTTCATGTCATTCTCCTGCCTCAGCCTCCCAAGTAGCTGGGACTACAGGTGTCTGCTACCAAGCCCGGCTAATTTTGTGTTTTTGTTGTGTCTCTGCCAGGTTTTGGTGTCAAGATCATGCTGTCCTTATAGAATGAGTTGGGGAGGAGACCGTCCTCCTCAATTTTTGGGGATAGTTTCTGTAGGAATTGTACCAGCTCTTCCTTGTACATTTGGTAGAATTTGGCTGTAAATCCATAAAGTCCAGGGCTTTTATTTTTTTGATTGGCAAGCTACTTATTACCTATATAATATCAGAGCTTTTTATTGGTCCATTCAGGAAATAATTGTCTTCCTGGCTTAATCTTGGGAGAGTGTGTATATCTAGTAATGTATCCATTTCTTTAAAGTTTTCTAGTTTGTGTGTATAAAGGTGTTCATGTTAGTACTGACCCCACATAAATGAAAACAACCATTAGAAACCACTAATGTTGAACACTTATGTCTTTAATCTATTTTTATTTAATTTTTGTACTTGGAATGTGATAAAGATTAAACTTTACTGGTTTCAATGTGGACTTGTTTTCCCAGCATTTATTGTGGAACAAACTGTCCTTTTCTTTACATAATGATTAAGGCACCCTTGTCAAAAGACAATCAATAATTTATGCAAGGGTTTTTTTGATTATATATTTTATTTATTTGATCTCTACAATTGTTCTTATGCCACTAGCAAACTGTTATAATTATAGTAGCTTTGTATGTTTTCAAATTTAAAATTGTGAGCCATCTAATTTTGTTCTTCCTTTCAAGATTATTCTGTACATTCAGAGGATTTTCAAATTCCATATGAAGTTTTAAATGAATTATTTTGTTTTTGCAAAAGAAAAGTTGGAAAAATTAAAAATTGGGATTACAGTACATCTGTACACTACTTTGGGTAGTAGTATTGTCATCTGAACTTCATTAAGTCTTCCGGTTCAGGAACATGGAATTTGTTGCCAGTTATTTAACTCCTTTTTAGTTTTTTTCATAAATATTCTGATCCTGTATTTTTTATTGTACAAAATATGTACCTTCTTATTAAATTTATTTCTAAGAATTATATTATTTTAATGTTGTTGCAAACAATTGTTTTATTAATTTACTGTCAAATTGTTCATTGTTGGTATATGGAAATGCACTTTATGTTTCTGTGTTGTAAAAATAATTATTTCATCTCTCAAATCTAGATTAGCAATTAATTCAGAATAAATATGCCATATAAACTGGTAGTCATTTAACTTTTTCCAATAAGCTAACCAATTACAATATGTCTAAATATGTAAAAATGTTGAATTGTGTTAGATTTTCACTTACTGTCACCTGTCATTTATCAGTCAGAATTACATTACTGCACACATAGAACTTTCATTCCTGGGGCTGGGCATGGTGGCTCATGCCTATATTCCTAGCACTTTGTGAGGCCAAGGCAGGCGGACCACCTGAGATCAGGAGTTCGAGACCACCCTGACTAACATGGTAAAACCCCGCCTCTACTAAAAATAGAAAAATAAGCTGAGTGTGGTAGTGGGAGCCTGTACTCCAGCTACTTTGGAGGCTGACACAGGAGAATCACTTGAACAATCCCACAACACAAAACAACAAAAGTTAGTCTTCATGTCAAAAATCTTCAATGGATTTTTTTCATCACAGGATTGTTTAGTGCAACATTTTATGGAAAAGATGCATGCTACTGAGATGTAGTTCTATAAAAGTCTCTTAGAGTTTGTCATTTTGTTGTGTCTTACATCACATACCTGTCCTGTTCCAGGCTATTTTTCAAAGATTTTTGTACACAAATAACCTGGAAAAAGGGTAGTAGTTTTTCTCTTCAGGTGAATGGCAGATAAATTACTCAATCAATATAATAAAGACAATTTTTCTCTGTGAGGCAAAGGTTGGACAGGTTTGCATGTAACCTACTTTAAGAAGATTGAGGTTTCTTAGTCTTGAGTCTGCTCAGCTGTGACACAAATCTTCCCCATGTGCAATGTCCATCTGAGCCTTTTGAAATCCCTCTAAAAAATGTAGTATGGACAAGGAGAACTAATACAAAAATGAGGCTTTTGCCTCCAGGTAGACAGTAAATAGTAGTTTTTTTTTTTCATACTTCAGTGTCTCATGCCTTCTACCAGCATCCATGAAAATGGAAGGTTAATAGGTTCGTTTACAAATAGGATGAAATCTTAGATCCTTCACAATTATTTAATTTTGGAGATGACAATGGGATGCTGAGATAAACACAACTTTCTGAAAGGGGAAAATACACAAATACTTGAAGAGCTTGCAAGGGTTATGAGAAGTTCCCCTAGGACTAACAGCAACTTCTCTCAGCCAAGTGGTTAGTTTGGTGAAACAAGGGATCAAGACTCTGCTGTCTGCTAATGAGACTGATTCTTGAGAGGATTATAACAATGAGCCTGAGAGCTTTGCATGTTCATTTTTCTCCTGCTGGAAAGATCAAGGAGCTCTTAAAATTAATGTTGAGGGTTGGATGAGTCCAAAGCACTAGAAGTTCACCTCTGTGAGATGAATGCACATATCACAAAGAAGTTTCTCAGAATGCATCTGTCTAGTTTTTATGTGAAGATATTTCCTTTTGCACCATAGGAGGCAAAACGCTCCAAATATACACTTGCAGATGGTACAAAAAGAGTGTTTCAAAACTACTCGATCAAAAGAAATGTTCAACTCTGTGAGATGAGTGCACACATCACAGAGAAGTTTCTCAGAATGCTTCTGTCTAGTTTTTATGTGAATATATTTGTTTTACACCATAGGCCTCTAAGCGCTCCAAATATCCACTTGCAGATTCACCAAAAACAGTGTTTCAAAACTGTTCAATCAAAATAAAGGTTTAAATCTGTGAGATGAATGCACACATCACAAAGAAGTTTCTCAAAATGCATCTGTCTAGTTTTGATGCAAAGATATTTGCTTTTCCACAAAGGCCTAAAAGCACTCCAAATATTCACTTGCAGATTCTACAAAAAGAGTGTTTCAAAACTGCTCGATCAAAAGAAAGGTTCAACTCTGTGAGATGAATGCAAAAATCACAGAGAAATTTCTCAGAATGCTTCTGTCTAGTTTATATGTGAAGATATTTCCTTTTCCACCATAGACCTCAAACCGCTTCAAATATCCATTTACAGATACTACAAAAAGAGTGTTTCAAAACTGCTCAATCAAAAGAAAGGTTCAACTCTGTCAGATGAATGCACACATCACAAAGAAGTTTTTCAGAATTCTTCTGCCCAATTTTTATGTGAAGATACTTCCTTTTACACCATATGCAGCAAAGCGCTCCAAATACCCTCCTGCAGATTCTACAAAATTAGTGTTTCAACACTGCTCAATCAAAAGAAAGTTCCTCTCTGTGAGATGAATGCATACATCACAAAGAAATTTCTCAGAATGCTTCTGTGTAGTTTTTATTTGATGATATTTCCTTTTCCACAATAGGCCTTAAAGCGCTCCAAATATCCACTTGCAGATTCTCCAAAGGAGTGTGTCAAAACTGTTCAATCAAAAGAAAAATTTAACTCTGTGAGATGAATGCACACATCACCAAGAACTTTCTCAGAATGCTTCTGTCTAGTTTTTATGTGAAGATATTTCCATTTCCACTGTGGGCCACAAAGGGCTCCAAATATCCACTTGCAGATTCTACAAAAAGAGTGTTTCAAAACTGCTAAATCAAAAGAAAGGTTCTACTCTGTGAGTTGAATGCACACAACAAAGAAGTTTCTCAGAATGCTTCCATCAATTTTTTATGTGGAGATATTTCCTTTTTCACCATAGGCCCCTAAGCGCTCCAAATATCCACTTGCAAATTCTACAAAAAGAGTGAAAACTGCTGAATCAAAAGAAAGGTTCACCACTGTAAGATGAATGTACACGTCACAAAGAAGTTTCTGAGAAAGATTCTGTCTAGTTTTTATGTGAAGATATACCCTTTTGCACCGTAGACCTCAAAATGATCCATATATCCATTTGCAGATTCTACAAAAAGAGTGTTTCAAAACTGCTCAATCAAAAGAAAGGTTAAGTTCTGTGAGATGAATGCACACATTACAAAGAAGTTTCTCAGAATGCTGCTGTCTAGTTTTTATGTGAAGATGTTTCATTTTCCACCATACGCCTCAAAGCGCTCTAAATATCCACTTGCAGATTCCTCAAAAAGAGTGTTTCAAAACAGCTCAATCAAAAGAAAGGTTCAACTCTGTGAGATGAATGCACACATCACAAAGAAGTTTATCAGAATGCTTCTGTCTAGTTTTTAAGTGAAGATATTTCCTTTTCCTCCATAGGCCTCAAAGAGCTCCAAATATCCTCTAGCAGATTCTACAAAAAGAGTGTTTCAAAACTGCTTAATCAAAAGAAATGTTCAACTCTGTGAGAGGAATGCACACATCACAAATAAGTTTCTCAGAATGTTTCCTCTAGTTTTTATGTGAAGATATTTCCTTTTCCACCATAGTCCTCAAAGCGCTCCAAATATCCACTGGCCGATTCTCCAAAAAGAACATTTCAAAACTGCTCAATCAAAAGAAATTTTCAAATCTGTGAGAGGAATCTGTACATCACAAAGAAGTTTCTCAGAATGCTTCCGTGTAGCTTTTATGTGAAGATATTCCCTTTTCCACTATAGGCCTCAAGTGGCTCCAAATGTCCACTTGCAGATTCTACAAAAAGAGAGTTTCAAAACTGCTCAGTCAAAAGAAAGGTTAAACTCTCTCTGATGAATGCACACATCACAGAGAAGTTTCTCAGAATGCTTCCGTCAAGTTTTTTATGTGGAGATATTTCCATTCCACCATCGGCCCCTAAGCACTCCAAATAGCCACTTACAGATTCTTCAAAAAGCGTGTTTCAAAACTGCTGAACCAAAAGAAAGGTTCAACTCAGTGAGTTGAATGCACATATCAGAAAGAAGTTTCTCAGAATGCTTCTGTCTAGTTTGTACGTGAAGGTATTTCCTTTTCCGTCATACTCATCAAAGAGTTCCAAATATTCACTTGCACATTCTACAAAAAGAGTGTATCAAATCTGCTCAATGAAAACAATGGGTCAATTTGGTGAGATAAGTGAACACATCACGAGGAAGTTTTGCAGAATGCTTCTGTCTAGTTTTTCTGTGAAAATATTTCCTTTACTACCATAGGACACAATCGCTCCAAATATCGACTTTCAGATTCTACAAAAAGGGTGTTTCAATACTGCTCGATGAAAAGAAAGATTCAACCCAGTGAGATGAACGCACACATCACAAAGAAGTTTCTCAGAAGGCTTCTGTCTAGTTTTTATGTGAAGATATTTCCTTTTAAACCATAGGACACAATTCGCTCCAAATATCCACTTGCAGTTTCATCAAAAAGACTGTTTCAAAACCCTCAATCAAAAGAAAGTTTCAACACTGTGAGATGAATGCACACATTACAAAGAAGTTTCTCAGAATACTTCTGTCTAGTTTTTATGTGAAGATATTTCCTTTTCCACCACAGACCTGAAAGCACTCCAAATATCCACTTGCAGATTCTACAAAAAGAGTATTTCAAAACAGCTCCATCAAAAGAATGGTTCATCTTGGTGAGATGAATGCACACATCACAAAGAAGTTTCTCAGAGTGTTTCTGTCTAGTTTTTATGTGAAGATATTTCCTTTTCCACCACAGACCACAAATCGCTCCAAATAGCCACTTGCATATACAACAAAAAGAGTGTTTCAAAACTGCTCAATCAAAAGAAAGGTTCAACTCTGTGAGATGAAGGCACTTATCACAGAGAAGTTTCTCAGAATGCTTCTGTCTAGTTTATATGTGAAGATATTTCCTTTTCCAAGATAGACCTCAAACCGCTTCAAATATCCATTTACAGATACTACAAAAAGAGTGTTTCAAAACTGTTCAATCAAAAGAAAGGTTCAAATCTGTGAGTTGAATGCACAGATCACCAAAAGTTTCTCAGAATGCTTCTGTCTAGTTTTTATGTGAAGATAGTTCCTTTTCCACAATAGGCCCCAAAACGCTCCAAATATCCCCTTGCAAACACTACAAAAGATTTTTTAAAAACTGCTAAATCTTCTTAATCCAGTCTATATGCACCATGGAATACTATGCAGCCATAAAAAATGATGAGTTCATATCCTTTTTAGGGACATGGATGAAATTGGAAGTCATCATTCTCAGTAAACTATCGCAAAACAAAAAACCAAACACCGCATATTCTCACTCATAGGTGGGAATTGAAAAATGAGATCACATGGACACAGGAAGGGGAACATCACACTCTGGGGACTGTTGTGGGGTGGGAGGAGGGGGGAGGGATAGCATTGGGATATATACCTAATGCTATATGACGAGTTAGTGGGTGCAGCACACCAGCATGGCACACGTATACATATGTAACTAACCTGCACAATGTGCACATGTACCCTAAAACTTAAAGTATAATAATAATAGAAACTACTCAATCAAAAGAAATGTTCAACTTTTTGATATGAATGCACACATCACAAAGAAGTTTCTCAGAATGCTTCTATTTTTTATGTGAAGATATTTCCTTTTCCAAAATAGGCCAGAAAGGTCTGCAAATATCCACTTGCAGATTTTACAAAAAGAGAGAATCAAAACTTCTCAATCAAAAGATAGGTTCAGCTGTGTGAGTCGAATGCAGACATCACAAAAAAGTTTCTGAGAATGCGTCTGTGTGGTTTTTATGTGAAGATATTTCCTTTTCTACCATAGGCTTCAAAGCGCTCCAAATATCCACTTGCAGGTTCTACAAAAGAGTGTGTCCAAACTGGTCAATCAAAAGAAAGATCAACTCTCTGAGATGAATGCACACATCACAAAGAAGTTTCTCAGAATGCGTCTGTCTAGTGTTTATGTGAAGATATTTTCTTTTCCACAACAGGCCACAAAGCACTCCAAATATACACGTCCAAATTCTACAAAAAGAGTGTTTCGAAATTGCTCAATCAAAAGAAAGGTTCAACTCTGTGAGATGAATGCACACATTACAAAGACGTTTCTCAGAATGCTTCTTCATAGTTTTTATGTGAGGATGTTTCCTTTTCCACCATAGGTCTAAATGTGCTCCAAATATCCACTTGCAGATTCTACAAAAAGAGTGATTAAAAACTGCTCAATCAAAGGATAGATTCAACTCACTGAGATGAATGCACACATCCCAAATAAGTTTCTCAGAATGCTTCTGTGTAGTTTCTATGTGAAGATATTTCCTTTTCCGCCAAAGATCTCAAAGCGCTAAAAATATCCCCTTGGAGATTCTACAAAAAGAGTGTTACCAAACTGCTCAATAAAAAGAAAGGTTCAACTCTGTGTGATGAATGCACACGTCACAAAGTAGTTTCTCACAATGCTTCTTTGTAGTTTTTATGTGAAGATATTTCCTTTTCCACAATAGGCCTCAAAGTGCTTGAAACATTGACTTGCACATTCTACAAAATGAGTGTTTCAAAACTGCTTAATCAAAAGAAAGGTTCAGCTTTGTGAGATGAATGCACACAACACAAAGAAGTTTCTCAGAATTATTTTGTGTGGTTTTTATGTGAAGGTATTTCCTTTTTCACACTTGGCTGCACAACGCACCAAGTATCCACTTACAGAATCTGCAAAGATAGAGTTTCAAAACTGCTCTATAAAAAGATAAGCTCAACCCGGTGACTTGAATGCACACATCTCAAAGAGGTGTCTCAGAATGCCTCTGCGTACTTTTTATGTAAAGATATTTCCTTTTACACCATTCACCACAAAGTGCTCCAAACATCCACCTGCAGATGTTACAAAAAGAGTGTTTCCAAACTGATCAATGAAAAGAAAGGTTCAACTCTATGAGACGAATTCACACATCATGAAGAAGTTTCTCACAATACTTTTGTGTAGTTTTTATGTGAAGATATTTCCTTTTCCAAAATAGGCCCTAAAGGGCTCCAAATATCCCCTTGCAGATTCTACAAAAAGGGGGTTTCAAAAGTGCTCAATAAAAAGAGAGATTAAACTCTTTGAGGGGAATGCACACATCGCAAAGAAGTTTCTCAGAATGCTTCTGTGTAGTTTTTATGTGAAGATATTTCCTTTTCCACAGTAGGCCTCAAAGGGCTACAAATATACACTTGCAGAATCTACAAAAAGAGTGTTTCAAAACTGTTCAATCAAAAGAAAGGTTCAAGTCTGTGAGTTGAATGCACACATCATAAAGAAGTTTCTCAGAATGCTTCTGTGCAGTTTTTATGTGAAGATATTTCCTTTTCCACAATTTGCAAATATCCACCTGCAGATTCTGTAAAGATTGTTTCCAAACTGCGCAAAGAAAAGAAAGGTTCAACTTCGTGAGATTAATGGACTCATTACAAAGTAGTTTATCAGAATGCTTCTGTGTCATTTTTATGTGAAGATATTTTCTCTTCCACATTAGGCCTCAAAGTGTTTCAAATATCCACTTGCTTATTCTATTAAAAGAGAGTTTCCAAACTGTTCAGTCTAAAGAAAGGTTCAAATCTGTGAGATGAATGTGCACATCACAAAGAAGTTTCTCAGAGTGCTTCTGTGTAGTTTTTATGTGAAGGTATTTCCTTTTACACAGTAGGCCATAAAGGGCTCCAAATATTCACTTGCAGATTCTCCAAAAAGAGAGTTTCTAAAATCCTCTACCAATAGATAGGTAGAACTCTGTGAGTTGAATGCACACATCACAAAGAAGTTTCTCAGAATGCTTCTGTATAGTTTTTATGTGAAGATATTTCAATTTCCACAATAGTACTCAAAGAGCTCTAAATATCCACTTTTAGATTCTACTAAAAGAGTGTTTTCAAACTGCTCAATCAAAAGAATGGTAAAACACCGTGAGATGAATGCAAAAATCACAAAGAAGTTTCTCAGAATGCTTCTGTGTAGTTTTCATGTGAAGATATTTCCTTTTCCACAATGGGCCTCAAAGCGCTCTGTGAGATGAATGCACACGTCACAAGACATTTCCCAGAATGATTCTGTGTACTTTTCTTGTGAAGATACTTCCTTTTCCACAATAGTCCTCAAAGCTCTCCAAATATCCACTTGCAGATTCTACAAAAACTGTGTTTCAAAAATGCTCAATCAAAAGAAATGTTCTACTCTGTGAGATGAATGCAACATCACCAAGAAGTTTCTCAGAATGCTTCCATGTAGTTTTTATGTGAAGATATTTCCTTTTACACCATAGACCTCAAATCGCTCCACCTATCCACTTGCAGATTCTACAAAAAGAGTGTTTCCAAACTGCTCATTCAAAAGAAAACTTCAACTCTGTGAGATGAGTAAACACCTCGCAAAGAAGTTTCACAGAATGATTCTGTGTAGTTTTTATGTGAAGATATTTCCTTTTCCACAATAGGCCTCAAAGCACTCCTAATATCCACTTGCAGATTCTACAAAAAGAGTGTTTCAAAACTGCTCAATCAAAAAAAGTTTCAATTCTGTGAGTTGAAAGCACAAATCACAAAGAACTTTCTAAGAATGCTTCTGTGTAGTTTTTATGTGAAGATATTTCATTTTCCACAATAGACCTCAAAGAGCTCCAAATGTCCACTTCTAGACTCTACAAAAAGAGAGTTTCCAAAGTGCTAATGAAAAGAAGGGTTCAATTCTGTGAGATGAATGCATACATCACAAAGAAGTTTCTCAGAATGCTTCTGATTACTTTTTATGTGAAGATATTTCCTTTTCCACAATAGGCCTCAAAGGGCTCCAAATATCCACTTGCAGATTGTACAAGAAGAGTGTTTCAAAAATGCTTAATCAAAAGAAAGTTTCAACTCTGTGAGGTGAATGCACACTTCACAAGAAATTTCTCAGAATGCTTCTGTGTAATTTTTATGTGAACATACTTCCCTTTCCACAATAGTCAACAAAGCCCTGCAAATATCCACTTGCACATTCTAGAAAAAGAGTGTTTCAAAACTGCTCAATCAAAAGAAAGTTTCAACCCTGTGAGGTGAATGCACACATCACAAAGAAGTTTCTCAGAACGCTTCCGAGTAGTTTTTATGTGAAGATATTTCCTTTTCAACCATAGGCCTAAAAGCACTCCAACTATCCACTTGCAGATTCTACAAAAAGAGTGTTTCCAAATTGCTCAATCTAAAGAAAACTTCAACTCCATGAGGTGAGTAAACACAACGCAAAGAAGTTTCACAGAATGATTCTCTATAGTTTTTATGTGATGATATTTTCTTTTCCACAATAGACCTAAAAGCACTCCAAATATCCACTTGCAGATTCTACAAAAAGAGTGTTTCAAAACTGCTCAATCAAAAAAAGGTTCAAATCTGTGAGATGAATGCACACATCACAATGCAGTTTCTCAGAATGCTTCTGTGTAGTTTTTATGTGAAGATATATCCTTTTCCAAAATAGGTCTCAAGGAGCTCCAAATATCCACTTACAGATTCTAGAAAAAGCGTGTTTCCAAACTGCTCAATCAAAAGAAGAGTTCAATTCTGTGAGATGAATGCATACATCACAAAGAAGTTTCTCAGAATGTTTCTGTTTAGTTTTTATGTGAAGATATTTACTTTTCCACAACAGGCCTCAAAGCCCTCCAAATATCCCCTTGCAGATTCTACAGAAAGAGAGATTAAAAACTTCTCAATCAAAAGAAAGGTTCAACTCTGTGAGATGAATGCCCACATCACAAAGAAGTTTCTCAGAATGTTTATGTGTAGTTTTTATGTGAAGATATTTACTTTTCCAATGTCGGCCTCAAAGTGCTCCAAATATCAACTTAGAGATTCACAAAAACAGTGTTTCAAAACCGCTTAATGAAAAACTAGGTTCATCTCTGTGAGATGAATGCACACATCACAAAGAAGTTTCTCAGAATGCTTCTGTGTAGTTTTTATGGGAAGATAATTCCTGTTCCAAAATAGGCCTCAAAGCCCTCCAGATATCCACTTGCAGACTGTACAAAAAGTGTGTTTCATAACTGTTCAGTCAAAGAAATTTTCAACTCTGTGTGGTGAATGGACTCATCACAAAGTAGTTTCTCAGAATGCTTCTGTGTAGTTTTTTTGTGAAGATATTTCCTTTATCACAAGGGCCACAAAGGGCTCCTAATATCCACTTGCAGATTCTACAAAAAGAGAGATTCAAAACTGCTCAATCAAAAGATAGATTTAACTATGTGAGTTGAATGCACATATCATAAAGATGTGTCTCAGAATGCTTCTGTGTAATTTTTATATGAAGATATATCCTTTTCCACAATAGGTTTCAAAGCCCTCAAAATACCCACTTGCACATCCTACAAAAAGAGTATTTCAAAACTACTCAACCAAAGAAAGATTCAACTCTGTGAGTTGAATGCACACATCACGAAGAAGTTTCTCAGAATGTGTCTGTGCAGTTTTTATTTGAAGATATTTCCTTTTCCTCCATAGGCTGCAAAGGGCTACATATATCCACTTGCAGATTCCACAAACAGAGATATTCAAAACTGCCCAATCTAAAGATACGTTCAACCTTATGAGTTGAATGCACACATCACAAAGTAGTTTCTCAAAATGCTTCTGTGTATTTTTTATGTGAAGATATTTACTTTTCCACAATAGGCCTCAAAGCACTCCAAATATCCCCTTGCAGATACTACAAAAAGAGCGTTTCAAAACTTCTCAATCAAAAGAAAGGTTCAACTCTTTGAGATTAATGCGCCTATCACAAAGAAGTTCCTCAGAATGCCTCTGTGTAGTTTTTATTTGAAGATATTTGCTTTTCTGCAGTAGGCCTCAAAACACTGCAAATATCCAGTTGCAGATTCTACAAAAACAATGTTTCAAAAGTGCTCAATCAAATAAAAATTCAACTCTGTGAGATGAATGCACACATCACAAAGAAGTTTCTGAGAATGCTTCTGTGTAGTTTTTATATGAAGATATTTCCTTTTCCACAATAGGCCTCAAAGTGCTCCAAATATCCACTTGCAGATTCTACAAAGAGAGTGTTTCAAAACTGCTCAATCATAAGATAGGTTCCACACAGTGAGATGAATGCACACATAACAAAGAAGTTTCTCAGAATGCATCTGTGTTGTTTTTATTTTTAGATATTTCCTTTTCCTGCATAGGCTGCAAAGGGCTCAAAATATCCACCTGCAGATTCTACAAAAAGAGAGATTCAAAACTGCTCCATCAAAAGAAAGGTTCAACTCTGTGAGATGAATGCACACATCACAAAGAAGTTTCTCAGAATGCTTCTGTGTAGTTTTCATGTGAAGATATTGCTTTTCCACAGTAGCCCTCAAACTGCTCCAAATATCCACTTGCAGATTCTTCAAAAGCAGTGTTTCAAAACCGCTCAATCAAAATAAACATTCAACTCTGTGAAATGAATGCACACATCACAAAGAAGTTTCTCAGAATTTTTCTGTGCAGTTTTTATGTGAAATTATTTCCTTTTCCACCACAGGCTGCAAAGGGCTCCAAATATCCCCTTGCAGATTCTACAATAAGAGAGATTGAAAACTGCACAATCGAAAGATAGGTTCAACTCTCCTAGTTGAATGCACACAGCACGAAGAATTTTCTCAGAATGCTTCTGTGTAGTTTTCTTTGGAAGATATTACCTTTTCCACTATAGGCCCCAAACTCTCTAAATATCCACTAGCAGATTCTACAAAAAGAGTGTTTCCAAACTGCTCAGTCAAAAGAAAGGTTCAACTCTGTGAGATGAATGCAAACATCGCCTAGAAGTTTCTCAGGATGCTTCTGTGTAGTTTTTATGTGAAGACATTTTCTTTTCCTAAATAGTCCTCAAAGCACCGCAAATATCCACTTGCAGATCCTACAAAAAGAGTGTTCCAAAGCTGTTCAAGCAAAAGAAAGGTTAAATTCTAGGAGATGACTTCACACATCACAAAGCAGTTTCTCAGAATGCTTCTGTGTAGTTTTTATATGAAGATACTGGTTTTTCCACAATAGGCCTCAAAGTGCTCCAAATATCCACTTGCAGATTCTACAAAAACAGTGTTTCATAACTGCTAAATTGAAAGAAATGTTCAACTATTTGAGATGAATGTACACATCACAAAGGAGTTTCTCAGAATGCTTCTGTGTAGTTTTTATGTGAAGATATTTCCTTTTCCACAATGGGCCACAAAGCACTCAAAATATCCATTTGCTGATTCTACAAAAACAGAGTTTCAAAAAACTGCTCAATCATAAGATAGATTCAACTCTGTGAGATGAATGCTGACATAACAAAGATGTTTCTCAGAATGTTTCTGTGTAGTTTTTATTTGAAGATATTTCCTTTTCCAAAATAGGCAGCAAAGGGCTCCAAATATCCACTTGCAGATTCTGCAAAAAGAGAAATTCAAAACTCCTCAATCAAAAAACAGGTTCAACTCTGTGAGTTGAATGCACACATCACAAAGACGTTTCTCAGAATGCGTCTGTGTAGTTCTTATGTGAAGATATTTCCTTTTACACAGGAGACCTCAAAGGCCTCCACATATCCACTTGTAGATTCTACAAAAAGTGTGTTGCAAAATTGCTCAATCAAAAGAAAGGTTCAACTCTGTGAGATGAATGCACACATCACAAAGAAGATTATCAGAATGCTTCTTTGTAGTTTTTATGTGAAGATATTTGCTTTTCCACAGTTGGCCTCAAAATGCTCCAAATATCCAGTTGCAGATTCTACAAAGAGAGTGTTTCCAAACTGCTAAATCATAAGATAGGTTCAACTCTGTGAGATGAATGCACACATCACAAAGAAGTTTCTCAGAATGCTTCTGTGTAGTTTTTATGTGAAGATATTTCCCTTTATACAATGGGCTTCAAAGTGCTCCAAATATCCACTTGCAGATTCAACAAAAAGAGTGTTTCAAAACTGCTCAGTCATAAGATAGGATCAATTCTGTGAAATGATTGCATACATCACAAACAAGTTTCTCAGAATGCTTCTGTGTAGTTTTTATTTGAAGATATTTCCTTTTCCACCCTAGGCTGCAAAGGGCTCCAGATATCCACTTGCAGATTCTAGAAACAGAGAGATTCAAAACTGCTCAATCAAAGGATAGGTTCAACTCCATAAGATGAATGCACACATCACACAGAACTTTCTCAGAATGCTTTTGCATAGTTTTTATGTGAAGATATTTCCTTTTCCACAATAGGCATGAAAGCGCTCCATATATTCACTTGCAGATTCTACAAAAAGAGTTTTTCAAAACTGCTCTATCAAAAGAAAAGTTCAACTCTGTGAGATGAATGCCCACATCACTAAGAAGTTTCTGAGAAGGCTTCTGTGTATTTTTTATGCGAAGATATTTGCTATTCCAAAGTAGACCCCAAAGTGCTCCAAATATGCACTTGCAGATTCTTCAACAAGACTGTTTTGAAACTGCTTCATCAAAAGAAGTGTTCAACTCCGTCTGATGAATGCACTCATCACAAAGAAGTTTCTCAGAATGCTTCTGCGAAGTTTTTATTTGAAGATATTTCCTTTTCCTCCATAGGGTGCAAAAGTCTCCAAATATTCAGTTGCACAATCTACCAAAAGGTAGAGTCAAAACTGCGCAATCAAAAGACAGGTTTACCTCTGTGAGATGAATGTACACATCACAAAGAAGTTTCTCAGAATGGTTCTGTGTAGTTTTCATGTGAAGATATTTCCTTATCCACATTAGGCCTTAAAACACTCCAATTATCCACTTACAGCTTCTAAAAAGTGAGTGTTTCAAAACTTCTCTATCATAAGCTCAAATCTGTGAGATGAAAGCACACATCGCAAAGAGGTTTCTCAGAATGCTTCGTGTAGTTTTTATTTGAAGATATTTCCTTTTTCTCCATACGCCACAAAGGGCTCCAAATATCCAATTGCAGATTCTACAAAAAGAGAGATGCAGAACTGCTCAAGCAAAACATAATTTCAACACTTTGAGTTGAATGCACACAACCAAAGAAGTTTCTCAGAATGCTTCTGTGAAGTTTCTATGTGAAGATATTTCCTTTTCCACCATAGGCCACAAAGGGCTCAAAATATCCACTTGCAGATTTTACAGAAAGAGAGATTCAAAACTGCTCAATCAGAAGGTATGTTGAAATCTGTGAGACGAATGCACTCATCACAAAGAAGTTTCTCAGTATGCTTCTGTGTAGTTTTTATGTGAAGGTATTTCCTTTTCCCCAAAAAGCCTCAAAATGCTCCAAATATCCACTTGCAGATTCTACAAAGAGAGTGTTTCAAAAGTGCTAAATCATAAGATAGGCTCAATTCCGTGAGATGAATGCACACATCCCAAAGAAGTTTCTCAGAATGCTTCTGTGTAGTTTTTATGTTAAGATATTTCCTTTTCCACAATAGGCTTGAAAGTGCTCCAATTATCCACTTGCAGATTCTACAAAAAGAATGTTTCAAGACTGATCAATCATAAGATAGGTTCAACTCTGTGAGATGAATGCACACATCACAAAGATATTTATCAGAAGGATTCTGTGTTGTTTTTATCCGACGATACTTGCTTTTCCACAGATGGCCTCAAAGCACTCCAAATATCCACTTGCAGATTCAACAAAAACAGTGTTTCAAAACTGCTGAATCATAAGATAGGTTCAACTCTGTGAGATGAATGCACACATCACAAAGAAGTTTCTCAGAATGCTTCTGTGCAGTTTTTAATTGAAGGTATTTCCTTTTCCTCCATGGGCTGCAAAGGGCTCCAAATATCCACTTGCAGCTTCTACAAAAAGAGAGATTCAAAACTGCTCAATCAAAAGACAAGTTCACCTCTGTGAGTCTAATGCACACATCACAAAGTAGTTTCTCAGAATGCTTCTGTGTAGTTTTTATGTGTAGATACTTCGTTTTCCACAATAGACCTCAAAGCTTTCCAAATATCCACTTGCAGATTCTACAAAAAAAGGTTTCAAAACTGCTCATTCAAGGGAAATGTTCAACTCTGTGAGATGAATGCACACATCACAAAGAAATTAGTCAGAATGCTTCTGTGTAGTTTTTATGTGAAGATATTTGCTTTTCCACAGTAGGCCTCAAAGTGCTCTAATATCCACTTGTAGGTTTTACGAAAACAGTGTTTCAAAACTGTCCAATCAAAAGAAAGTTTCAACTCTGTGAGATGAATGCACACCTCATGAAGAAGTTTCTCAGAATACTTCCATATAATTTTAATGTGAAGATATTTGCTTTTCCACAGGCGGCCTCAAAGCGCTCCAAATATCCACTTGCAGATTCTACAAAGCAAGTGTTTCAAATCTGCTCAGTCATAAGATAGGTTCAAATCTCTGATATGAAGGCACATATCACGAAGAAGTTTCTCAGTATGGGTCTCTGTAGTGTTTAGTAGAAGATATTTCCTTATCGTCCATAGGCCACAACAGGCTCCAAATATCCACTTGCAGATTCTAGAAAAACAGAGATTCAAAACTGCTCAATCAAAAGATAGGTTCAACTCTGCGAGTTGAATGCACACATCACAAAGAAGTTTCTCAGAATGCTTCTGTGTAGTTTTTATGTGAAGATATTTCATTTTCCACAATAGGCCTCAAAGCACTCCAAATATCCACTTGCAGATTCTACAAAAAGAATGTTTCAAAACTTCTCAATCAAAACAAAAGTTCAACTCTGTGAGATGAATGCACACTTCACACAGAAGTTTCTCAAAATGTTTCTGTGTAGTTTCTATTTGAAGATATTTCCTTTTCCACTATAGGCCACAAAGGGCTCCAAATATCCACTTGCAGATTCTACAAAAACAGTGTTTCAAATGTGCACAATCAAAAGAAACGTGCAACTCTGTGAGATGAATGCACACATCACAAAGAAGTTTCACAGGATTCTTCTGTGTAGTTTTTATGTGAAAATATTTCCTTTTTCACAAAAGGCCTGAAAGCCCTCCAGTTATCCACTTTCAGATTTTACAGAGTTTCAAAACTGCTCAATCATAAGATAGTTTCAAATCTATGAGATGAATGCACACAACACAAAGAATTTTCTCAGAATGCTTCTGTGTAGTTTTTATTTGAAGATATTTCCTTTTTCTCCATATGCCGCAAGGGCTCCAAATATCCAATTGCAGATTCTACAAAAAGAGAGATGCAAAACTGCTCAAGCAAAACATAATTTCAACACTTTGAGTTGAATGCACACAACCAAAGAAGTTTCTCAAAATGCTTCTGTGAAGTTTTTATGTGAAGATATTTCCTTTTCCACCATAGGCCACAAAGGGCTCAAAATATCCACTTGCAGATTTTACAGAAAGAGAGATTCAAAACTGCTCAATCAGAAGGTATGTTGAAATCTGTGAGATGAACGCACTCATCACAAAGAAGTTTCTCAGAATGATTCTGTGTAGTTTTTATGTGAAGATATTTCCTTTTCCACAAAAAGCCTCAAAACGCTCCAAATCCACTTGCAGATTCTACAAAGAGAGTGTTTCAAAACTGCTAAATCATAAGATACACTCAATTCTGTGAGATGAATGCACACATCCCAAAGAAGTTTCTCAGAATGCTTCTGTGTA
The DNA here is from genome assembly GCF_000001405.40 of Homo sapiens. NCBI lineage: Eukaryota > Metazoa > Chordata > Mammalia > Primates > Hominidae > Homo > Homo sapiens. Next base: position 12,521,126 of record NC_000022.11, on the reverse strand, counting down.
GTTTTTATGTTAAGATATTTCCTTTTCCACAATAGACTTGAAAGCACTTCAATAATCCACTTGCAGATTCTACAGAAAGAATGTTTCAAAACTGATCAATCATAAGATAGGTTCAACTCTGTGAGATGAGTGCACACATCACAAAGATATTTATCAGAAGGATTCTGTGTAGTTTTTATCCGACGATACTTGCTTTTCCACAGATGGCCTTAAAGCGCTCCAAATATCCACTTGCAGATTCAACAAAAACAGTGTTTCAAAACTGCTGAATCATAAGATAGGTTCAACTCTGTGAGATGAATGCACACATCACAAAGAAGTTTCTCAGAATGCTTGTGTGTAGCTTTTATTTGAAGATATTTCCTTTTCCTCCATGGGCCCCAAAGGGCTCCAAATATCTACTTACAGCTTCTACAAAAAGAGAGATTCAAAACTGCTCAATCAAAAGATAAGTTCACCTCTGTGAGTCTAATGCACATATCACAAAGTAGTTTCTCAGAATGCTTCTGTGTAGTTTTTATGTGTAGATATTTCGTTTTCCACAATAGACCTCAAAGCTTTCCAAATATCCACTTGCAGATTCTACAAAAAGAGTATTGCAAAACTGCTCGTTCAATGGAAAGGTTCAACTCCAGGAGATGAATGCACACATCACAAAGCAATTACTCAGAATGCTTCTGTGTAGTTTTTATGTGAAGATATTTGCTTTTCCATGGTAGGCCTCAAAGTGCTCCAATATCCACTTGTAGGTTTTACAAAAACAGTGTTTCAAAACTGTCCAATCAAAAGAAAGTTTCAACTCTGTGAGATGAATGCGCATATCACGAAGAAGTTTCTCAGAATACTTCCGTATAATTTTAATGTGAAGATATTTGCTTTTCCACAGGAGGCCTCAAAGCACTCCAAATATCCACTTGCAGATTCTACAAATCAAATGTTTCAAATCTGCTCAATCATAAGATAGGTTCAACTCTGTGATATGAAGGCACACATCACGAAGAAGTTTCTCAGTATGCGTCTCTGTAGTGTTTACTAGAAGATATTTCCTTATCGTCCATAGGCCACAAAGGGCTCCAAATATCCACTTCCAGATTCTACAAGAAGAGAGATTAAAAACTTCACAATCAAAAGATTGGTTCAACTCTGTGAGTTGAATGCACACATCACAAAGTAGTTTCTCAGGATGCTTCTGTGTATTTTTTTTGTTAAGATATTTCCTTTTCAACAATAGGACTCAAAGCACGGCAAATATCCACTTTCATATTATACAAAAAGAGTGTTACAAAACTGCTCATTCAAAAGAAAGTTTCAACTCTGTGAGATGAATGCAGACATCACAAAGAAGTATCTCAGAATGCTTCTGTGTAGTTTTTATGTGAAGATATTTGCTTTTCCACAGTAGGGCTCAAAGCGCTCCAAATTTCCATTGCAGATACTACAAAAACAGGGTTTCAAAAGTGCTCAATGAAAAGAAAGTTTCAACTCTGTGAGATGAATGCACACACCACAAAGAAGTTTCTATGAATGCTTCTGTGTAATTTCTATGTGAAGATATTTCTTTGCCACAATAGGCCTCCAAGCGCTCCAAGTATACACTTGCAGATTTTACAAAGAGAGTTTTTCAAAACTGCTCAATCATAAGATAGGTTCAACTCTGTGAGATGAATGCACACAGCCCAACGAAGTTTCTCAGAATGATTCTGTGTAGTTTTTATGTGAAGATATTTGATTTTCCACAGTAGGCCTCAAAGCGCTCCAAATATCCCCTTGCAGATTCTACAAAAACAGTGTTTTAGAACTGCTGAATTATACTTTAGGTTCAACTCTGTGAGATGAATGCACACATCACAAAGAAGTTTCTCAGAATGCTTCTGTGTAGTTTTCAGGTGAAGATATTTCCTTTTCCTCCATAGGATGCAAAGGGCTCCAAATATCCAATTGCTGATTCTACAAAAAGAGAGATTCAAAACTGCTCAATCAAAAAATAATATCAACTCTGTGATTTTAATGCACACGTCACAAAATACTTTCTCTGAATGTTTCTGTGTAGTGTTTATGTGAAGATATTTCCTTTTCCACAATAGGAATCAAAGCACTGCAAATATCCACTTGCATATTCTACAAAAAGTGTGTTTAAAAACTGCTCAATCAACAGAAAGTTTCAATTCTATGTGATGAATGCACACATCGCAAGGAAGTTTCTCAGAATGCTTCTGTGTAGTTTTTATGTGAAGATATTTGCTTTTCCACAGGAGGCCTCAAAGCCCTCCAAATACCCACTTGCAGATACTCCAAAAATAGTGTTTCAAAACTGCTGAATCAAAATAATGGTTGAAATCTGTTAGATGAATGCACACATCACAAAGAAGTTTGTCAGAATCCTTCTGTGTAGTTTTCATGTGAAGACATTTCCTTTTCCACAACGGGCCAGATAGCAATCCAAGTATCCACTTGCAGATTCTACAAAGAGAGAGATTCAAAACTGCTCAATCAAAAGAAAGGTTCAGCTCTGTGTGATGAATGCACTAATCACAAAGAAGTTACTCAGAATGCTTCTGTGTAGTTTTTATGTGAATATATTTCCTTTTCCACAATATGCCTCAAAGCGCTCCAAATATCCACTTGCAGATTCTACAAAAAGAGTTTTTGAAAACTGCTTAATCATAACGTAGGTTCAACTCCGTGAGATGAATGCACACATCACAAAGAAGTTTCTCAGAATGCTTCTGTGTATCTTTAACATGAAAATAATTGCTTTTCCACAGAAGGCCTCAAATCGCTCCACATATCCGCTTGCGGATACTACAAAAACAGTGTTTCAAAACAGCTCAATGAAAAGAAAGGTTCAACTCTGTGAAATGAATGCACACATCACAAAGAAGTTTCTCAGAATGTTTCTGGTAGTTTTTACTGGAAGATATTTCTGTGCCACAATAGACTTCAAAGCGCCACAAGTATCCACTTGCAGATTCTACAAAGGGAGTGTTTCAAAACTGCTCAATCATAAGATAGCTTCAACTCTGTGAGACTTATGCACACATCACAAAGAAGTTTCTCAGAATGCTTCTGTGTAATTTTTATGTGAAGATATTTCCTTTTCGACAATAGGCCTCAATACGCTCTGAATATCCACTTGCAGTTTCTATAAAAAGTGAGTTTGAAAACTGCTCAATCAAAAGAAAGTTTCAACTCTGTGAGATTAATGCACACATCACAAAGAAGTTTCTGAGAATGGTTCTGTGTAGTTTTTATTGGGAGATATTTCCTTTTCCTCCATAGGTCACAAAGGACTCCAAATATCCACTTGAATATTCTACAAAAAAAAAAATATTGAGAGATTCAAAACTGCTCAATCAGAAGATAGTTTCAACTCTGTGAGTTGTATGTACACTTCAAAAAGAAGTTTCTCAAAATGCATGTGTGTAGTTTTTATTTGAAGATATTTCCTTTTCCTCTGTAGGTGGCAAAGGGCTCCAATTATCCACTTGCAGATTCTACAAAAGGAGAGATTCAAAACTGCTCAATCAAAAGATTGGTTCAACAATGTGAGTTGAATGCACACATCACAAAGATGTTTCTCAGAATGCTTTCGTGTAGTTTTTATGTGAAGATGTTTCCTTTTCCACTATAGGCCTCAAAGTGCTCAAAATATCCACGTGTAGATTCTACAAAAAGAGTGTTTCAAAACTGTCCAATCAAAATAAAGTTTCAATTCTGTGAGATGAATGCATACATCACAAAGAATTTTCTCAGAATGATTCTGTGTAGTTTATATTTGAAGATATTTCCTTTTCCAACGTAGGCCTTAAAGAGCTCCAAATATCCACTTGAAGATTCTACAAAAGAGAGATTCAAAACTGCTCAGTAAAAAGATATGTTCAACTCTATGAGTTCAATGCACTCATCACAAAGAAGTTTATCAGAATACTTCTGAGTAGTTGTTATGTGAAGATATTTCCTTTTCTACCATATACCGCAAAGGGCTCCAAATATCCATTTGCACATTCTACAAAAAGTGAGATTCAAAACTGCTCAATCAAAAGACGGGTTCAACTCTGTGGGTTGAATGCACACATCACAAAGAAGTTTCTCAGAATGCTTCTGTGTAGTTTTTATGTGAAGATATTTCCTTTACCATAATATGCCTCAAAGCGCTCCAAATATCCACTTGCAATTTCTAAAAAAAGAGTGTTTAAAAACTGCTCAATCAAAAGAAAGTTTCAACTCTCTGAGATGAATGTACACATCACACAGAAGTTTCTGAGAATGCTTCTGTGTAGTTTTTATTGGAAGATATTTCCTTTTCCTCCATATGTCAGAAAGGGCTCCAAATGTCCACTTGCAGATTCTACAAAAAGACAGATTCAAAACTGCTCGATGAAAAGAGAGGTTCAACACTGTGAGTTGAATACACACATCAATAATGCGCTTCTCAGAATGTTTCTGTGTAGTATTTATGTGAAGATATTTCCTTTTCCACAGTAAGCCTCAAAGCGCTCCAAATATCCACTTGCAGATTCTAGAAAGACAATGTTTCAAAACTGCTCAATCATAAGATAGGTTCAACCCTGTGAGATGAATGCACACATCACAAAGAAGTTTTTCAGAATGGTTCTGTGTATTTTTTATGTGAAGCTATTTGCTTTTCCGTGGTAAGCCTCAAAACCCTGCAAATACCGACTTGCAGATTCTACAAGAACAGTGTTTGAAAACTGCCAAATCAAAAGAAAGTTGGAATTTTGTGAGATGAATGCACACATCACAAAGAAGTTTCTCAGAATGCTTCTGTGTAGTTTTTATGTGAAGATATTTCTTTGCCATAGTATAGGCCTCAAAGCACTCCAAGTATCCACTTGCAGATTCTACAAAGAGAGTGTTTCAAAACTGCTTAATCATAAGATAGGTACAACTCTGTGAGATGAAAACATACATCACAAAGAAGTTTCTCAGAATGCCTCTGTGTAGTTTTTATTTGAAGATATCTCCTTTTCCTCCGTAGGTGGCATAGGGCTCCAATTATCCACTTGCAGATTCCACAAAAAGAGAGATGCAAAACTGCTTAATCAAAAGATAGGTACAACTCTGTGAGTTGAATGCAAACATCACAAAGATGTGTCTCAGAATGCTTCTCTGTAGTTTTTATGTGAACATCTTTCCTTTTCCACAATAGGCCTCAAAGTGCTCCAAATATCCACTTGCAGATACTACAAAAAGAGTGTTTCAAAACTGCTCAATAAAAAGAAAATTCTCAATATGTTTCTGTGCAGCTTTTATGTGAAGATATATGCATTTCCACCGTAGGACTCCAAGGGCTCCATATATCCACTTACAGATTCTACAAAAACAGTGTTTCAAAACTGCTCAATCAAAATAAAGGTTGAACACTGTGAGATTAATCCACACATCACAAAGAAGTTTCTCAGAATGTTTCTGTGTAGTTTTTATGTGAAGATATCTCCTTTTCCACAGTAGGTCTCAAAGCACTCCAAATATCCACTTGCAGATTCTAGAAAGAGAGTGTTTCAATACTGCTCAATCATAAGATAGGTTCAACCCTGTGAGATGAATGCACGCATCACAAATAAGTGTCTCAGAATTCTTCTGACTGGTTTTTATATGAAGATATTTCCTTTTCCACCATAGGCCTTAAAGCGCTAAAAATGTACGCTTGCATATCCTACAAAAAGTGTATTTCTTAACTGGTCTGTCAAAAGAATGGTTCAAATCTGGGAGATGAATGCACACATCACAAAGAAGTTTCTCAGAATTCTTCTGCCTTGTTTTTATGTGAAGATAATTTCTTTTCCACCACAGGCCCCAAATCGCTCCAAATGTCCACTTGCAGATTCTACAAAAAGAGAGTTTCAAAACTGCTCAATCAAAAAAAAGTTTAACTGTGTGAGATGAATGCACACATAACAAATAAGTCTTTCAGATTGCTTCTGTCTAGATTTTATGTGATGATATTTCCTTTTCTACCATAGGCCACAAAGCTTTCCAAATGTCCACTTGCAGATTCTACAAAAAGAGTGTTTCCAAACTGCTTAATCAAAAGAAATGTTCAACTCTGTGAGATGAACGCACTCATCACAAAGAAGTTTGTCAGAATTCTTCTGTCTAGTTTTTATATGAAGATACTTCCTTTTCCACCTTAGGCCTGAAGGCTCTCAAAATGTCCACTTGCAGATCCTACAAAAAGAGTATTTCAAAACTGTTCCACCAAAAGAAAGCTTCAACTCTGAGAGATGAATGCACACATCACAAAGAAGTTTCTCAGAATGCTTCTATCTAGTTTTTATGTGAAGATATTTCCTTTTGCACTATAGGCCTCAAAGCACTCCAAATGTCCACTTGCAGATTCTGCAAAAGAGAGTTTCAAAACTACTCAATGAAAATAAAGGTTTAACTTCTTGAGATGAATGCACACATCACAAAGAAGTTTCTGAGATTGCTTTTGTCTAGATTTTAAGTGAAGATATTTCCTTTTCTACAATAGGCCGCAAAGTGATCCAAATGTCCATTTGTAGATTCTACAAAAAGAGTGTTTCCAAACTGCTGAATCAAATGAAAGGTTCAACTTTGTGAGAAAGGTATAACACATCACAAAAAGTTTCTCAGAATTATTCTGTGTAGTTTTTATGTGAAAATATGTCCTTTTCCACCAAAGGCCTCAAAGTGCTCCAAATGTCCACTTGCAGATTCTACAAAAAGAGAGTTTCAAAACTGCACAATCAAAAGAGAGTGTTAACTCTGAGATGAACGCACACACCACAAAGAAGTTTCTCAGATTGCTTCTGTCTGGATTTTATGTGAAGGTATTTCCTTTTCTACAATAGGCTGCAAAGCGCTCCAAATATCCACTTGCAGATTCTACAAAAAGAGTGTTTCCAAACTGCTCAATCAAAAGAAAGTTTCAACTCTGTGAGATGAACACACACAACACAAAGAAGTTTCTCAGAATTCCTCTGTCTAGTTTTTATGTGAAGATATTTCCTTTTCCACCATAGGCCTCAAACCTCTGCAAATATCCACATGGAGCTACAAAAACAATGTTTCCAACTTGCTCAATTGAAAGAAAGTTCAACTATGTGAGATGAATGCACACATCACAGAGTAGTTTGTCAGAATTCTTCTGTGTAGTTTTTATTTGAAGATATTACCTTTTCCACCATAGGCCTCAAATTGCTCCAAATATCCACTTGCAGATTCTGCAAAAAGAGAGTTTCAGAACTGCTCTATCAAAAGAAAGATTTAACTCTGTGAGATGGAGGCACACATCCTAAAGAAGTTTCTCAGATTGCTTCTGTCTAGATTTCATGTGAAGATATTTCCTTTTCTACCATAGACCAGAAAGCGCTCCAAATGTCCATTTGCAGATTCTACAAAAAGAGAGTTTCCAAAGCGCTCAATCAAAAGAAAAGCTCAACTCTGTGATATGAACGCACACATCACAAAGAAGTTTCTCAGATCACTTCTGTATAGATTTTATGTGAAGGTATTTCCTTTTTTACCATAGGCCGCAAAGTGCTACAAATGTCCACTTGCAGATACTACAAAAAGAGCATTTAAAAATTGCTCAATCAAAAGGAAGGTTCAACTCTGTGAGATTAAAGCACACATCACAAAGAAGTTTCTCAGAATTTTTCTGTCTAGTATTTTTTTATTATTTTTATTTTTTTATTATTATCCTTTAAGTTTTAGGGTACATGTGCACATTGTTCAGGTTAGTTACATATGTATACATGTGCCATGCTGATGTGCTGCACCCACTAACTCGTCATCTAGCATTAGGTATATCTCCCAATGCTATCCTTTCCCCTCCCCCACCACACAACAGTCGCCAGAGTGTGATGTTCCCCTTCCTGTGTCCATGTGTTCTCATTGTTCAATTCCCACTTATGAGTGAGAATATGCAGTGTTTGTTTTTTTGTTCTTGTGATAGTTTACTGAGAATGATGATTTTCAATTTCATCCATGTCCCAACAAAGGACATGAACTCATCATTTTTTATGGCTGCATAGTATTCCATGGTGTATACATGCCACATTTTCTTAATCCAGTCTATCATTGTTGGACATTTGGGTTGGTTCAAAGTCTTTGCTATTGTGAATAGTGCCACAATAAACATACGTGTGCATGTTTCTTTGTAGCAGCATGATTTGTTGTCCCTTGGGCCTATACCCAGTAAGGGGATGGCTGGGTCAAATGGTATTTCCAGTTCTAGATCCCTGAGGAATCGTCACACTGATTTCCACAATGGTTGAACTCGTTTACAGTCCCACCAACAGTGTAAAAGTGTTCCTATTTCTCCACATCCTCTCCAGCACCTGTTGTTTCCTGACTTTTTAATGATTGCCATTCTAACTGGTGTGAGATGGTATCTCATTGTGGTTTTGATTTGCATTTCTCTGATGGCCAGTGATGATGAGCATTTTTTCATGTGTTTTTTGGCTGCATAAATGTCTTCTTTTGAGAAGTGTCTGTTCATGTCCTTCACCAACTTTTAGATGGGGTTGTTTGTTGTTTTCTTGTAAATTTGTTATTTGAATATATTTCCTTTTCCACCATAGACCTCAAAGTGTTCCAAATGTCCACTTGCAGATCGTACAAAAATAGTTTCAAAACTGCGTCATCAAAAAAAAGTTTAACTCTGTCAGATGAATTCTCACATCAATAAGAATTATGTCAGATTGCTTCTGTCTAGATTGTATGTGAAGATATTTCCTTTTCTGCCACAGGCCGCAAAGTGCTCCAAATGTCCACTTGCAGATTCAACAAAAAGAGTGTTTCCAAACGGCCCAAACAAAAGAAAGTTTCAACTCTGTGAGAGGAACGCACACATCACAAAGTAGTTTCTCAGAATTTGTCTTTCTAGATTTTATGAGAAGATAATTCCTTTTTCACCGTAGGTCTCAAAGCCTTCCAAATGTACAAATGCAGATTCGACAAAAAGAGAGTTTAAAAACTGCTCAATCAAAAGAAAGGGTTAACTCTGTGAGATCAATACACAAATCACAAAGAAGTTTCACAGATTGCTTCTTGCAGATTCTACAAAAAGAGTGTTTCCAAAATGCTCAATCCAAAGAAAGGTTCAACTCTGTGAGATGAACATACACATCACAAAGAAGTTTCCCAGAATGCGTCTATATAGTTTTTACGTGAAGATATTTCCTTTTCTGCCATAGGCCACAAAGCACTCCAAATATCCACCTGCAGATTCTACAAAAAGAGTGTTTCCAAACTGTTGAATGAAAAGAAAGTTTCAATCCTGTGAGACGAACTCACACATCACAAAGAAGTATCTCGGAATTCTTCTGTCTACCTTTTATGTGAAGATATTTCCTTTTCCACCATAGGCCTCAAATCACTCAAAATGTCCACTTGCAGATATTACAAAAATAGATTTTCAAAACTGCTCCATCAAAAGAAAAGTTTAAATCTGTGGGATGAATGCACACATCACTAAGAAGTTTCTCAGATTTCTTCTGTCTAGATTTTATGTGAAGATATTTCCGTTTCTACTGAAGGCCACAAAACTCTGTCTAGGATATTTCATTTTCCATTACAGGCCTCAAAGTGCTCCAAATGTCCACTTTCAGATTCTACAAAAAGAGTGTTTCCAAATTGCTCAATGAAAAGAAAGCTTTAACTCTGTGAGATGAAGGCACATATCACAAAGATGTTTCTCAGAACTCTTCTGTCTAGTTTTTATTTGAAGATATTTCCTTTTCCACCATAGGCCTCAAAGTGCTCAAAATGTCCCCTTACAGATTCTACAAAAAGTCTGTTTCCAAACTGCTCAATCAAAAGAAAGTTTCAATTCTGTGAGATGAACGCACACATCACAAAGAAGTTTCTCAGAATTCTTCTGTCTAGTTTTTGTGTGAAAATATTCCCTTTTCTAAAATAGGCCCAAAAGCACTCCAAATGTCTGCTTGCAGATTCTACAAAAAGAGCAGTTTCCAAACTGCTACATCAAAAGAAATGTTCAACTCTGTGAGGTTAATGCACGCATTACAAAGAAGTTTCTCAAAATTATTCTTTCTAGTTTTTATGTGAAGATTTTTGCTTTTCCACCACAGGCCTCAAAGCGCTCCAAATGTCCACTTTCAGATGTTACAAAAAGAGTGTTTCCAAACTGCTCAATCAAAAGAAAGTTTCAACCCTGTGAGATGATTGCACACATCAGAAAGAAGTTTCTCAGATTGCTTCTGTCTAGATTTTATGTGAAGATATTTCCTTTAGTACAACAGGCCCCAAAGTGCTCCAAATGTCCACTTGCAGATTCTAGAAAAAGAGTGTTTCCAAACTGCTGAATCAAAAGAAAGGTTCAACTCTGTAAGATCAATGCACACATCACAAAGAAATGTCTCAGAATTCTTCTGTATAGTTTTTATGTGAAGATATTTCCTTTTCCACAATAGGCATCAAAGTGCTCCAAATGTCCACTTGCAGATTCTACAAAAATAGAATTTCAAAACTGCTCAATCAAAAGAAAGGTTTAAGTCTGTGAGATGAATGCACACAACACTAAGAAGCTTCTCAGATTGCTTCTGTCAGATTCTACGTGAAGATATTTCCCTTTCTACCACAGGCAGCAAAATGCTCCAAATGTCCAATTTCAGATTCTACAAAAACAGAGTTTCAAAACTGCTCAATCAAAAGAAAGCTTTAAATCTGTGAGGTGAAAACACACATCAAAAAGTAGTTTCTCATATTGCTTCTGTCTAGATTTTATGTGAAGATATTTCCTTTTCTGCCATAGGCTGCAAAGCCCTCCAAAAGTCCACTTGCAGATTCAACAAAAAGAGGGCTTCCAAACTGCTCAACCAAAGGAAAGTTTCAAGTATGTGAGATGAATGCACACACCACAAGGAAGTTTCTCAGAATTCTTCTGTCTAGTTTTTATGTGAAGGTATTTCCTGTTCCACCATAGGCCTCAAAGTGCTCCAAATGTCCACTAGTAGATCCTACAAAAAGAAAGTTTCAAAACTGCTCCATCAAAAGAAAAGTTTAATTCTGTGAGATGAATGAACACATCACAAAGAAGTTTCTCAGATTGCTTCTGTCTAGATTTTATGTGAAGATATTTCCTTTTCTAACATAGGCTGCAAAGCGACCCAAGTGTCCACACGCTGATTGTACAAACGAAGGGTTTCCAAACTGCTCAATCCAAGGAAAGTTTCAGCTCTGTGAGATGAACGCATACATCACAAAGAAGTTTCTCAGAATTCTTCTGTCTAGTTTTTATGGGAAGATATTCCCATTTCCACCACTGACCTCAAAGGGCTCAAAATGTCCAACTGCAGATTCTACAAAAAGAGAGTTTCTAAACTGCTAAATCAAAAGAAAAGTTGGACTCTGCGAGATGAATGTGCACATCACAAAGAAATTTCTCAAATTACGTCTGTCTAGATTTTATGTGAAGATATATCCTTTTTTACCATAGGCCGCAAAGCGCTCCAAATGTCCACTTGCAGAGTCCAAAAAAAGTGTGTTTCCAAACTGCTCAATCAAAAGAAAGGTTCAACTCTGTGAGATGAATACCCACATCACAAAGATGTTTCTCAGAATTCTTCTGTCTAGTTTTTATGTGAAGATATACCCTGTTCCACCATAGGCCTCTAAGCGATAGAAATGTCCAATTGCAGATTCTACAAAAAGAGAGTATCAAAACTGCTCAATCAAAAGAAAGGGTTAACCCTTTGAGATGAATACACATATCATAAAGAAGTTTCTCAGATTGCTTCTGTCTGGATTTTATGTGAAGATATTTCCTTTTCCACCTAAAGTTGCAAGGCGCTCCAAATGTCCACTTGCAGATTCTACAGAAAGAGTGTTCCAAACCGTTCAATCATAAGAAAAGTTCAACTCAGAGATATGAACGCCCATAACAAAAAGAAGTTTCTCAGAATTCTTCTGTCTAGTTTTTATGTGATGATATTTCCTTTTCCAATATAGGCCTCAAGGAGCTTGAGGTGTCCACTTGCAGATTCTACAAAAAGAGTACTTCGAAACTGGTCCTTCAAAAGAAAGGTTCATCTCTGGGACATGAATGCACACATCACAAAGAAGTTTCTCAGAATGCTTCTATCTAATTTTTATATGAAGATATTTCCTTTTCCACCATAAGCTTCAAAGCTCTCCAAATGTCCACTTGCAGATAGTACAATAAGAGAGTTTCAAAACTGCTCAATCAAAAGACAGCTTTAACTCTGTGAGATGAATGCACACATCACAAAGAAGTTTCTCAGATTGCTTCTGCCTAGATTTTATGTGAAGATATTTCCTTTTCTACCGTAGGCCATAAAGCATTCCAAAAGTCCACCTGCAGATTCTACAAAAAGAGTGTTTCCAAACTACTCAATCCAAAGAAAGGTTCAACTCTGTGAGATGAACGCACACATCACAAAGAAGTTTCTCAGAATTCTTCTGTCTAGTTTCTATGTGAAGGTATTTCCTTTTCCACCATAGGCCTCAAAGCTCTCTAAATGTCCACTTGTAGATTCTACAAAAAGAGAGTTTCAAAACTGCTCAATCTAAAGAAAGTTTTAACTCTGTGAGGTGAACTAACCCATCATGAAGAAGTTTCTCAGACTGCTTCCATCTAGATTTTATGTGAAGATATTTCCTTTTCTACCATAGGCTGCAAAGCACTCCAAATGTTCACTTGCAGATTCTACAAAAAGAGTGTTTCCAAACTGCTCAATCAAGAGAATGGTTCAACTCTGTGAGTTGAATGTACACATCACCAAGAAGTTTCTCAGAATTCTTCTGTCTAGTTTTTATTTGAAGATATTTCTTTTTCCACCATAGGCCTCAAAGCGCTCCAAATTTCTACTTGCAGTTTCTGCAAAAAGAGTTTCAAAACTGCTCAATCAAAGGAAAGTTTTAACTCTGTGAGATGAATGCAGAGAGCATAAGGAAGTTTCTCAGATTGCTTCTGTCTAGATTTTATGTGAGATATTTCCTTTTCTAACAGAGGACGCAAAGCGCTCTAAACGTTCACTTGCAGATTCTACAAAAAGAGTGTTTCCAAACTGCTCTATCAAAATAAAGGTTCAACTCTGTGAGATGAACGCACACATCACAAAGAAGTTTCTCAGATTGCTTCTGTCTACAATTTATGTGAAAATATTTCCTTGTCAACCACAGGATGCAATGTGCTCCAAATGTCCACTTGCAGAGTCTACAAAAAGATTGTTTCCAAACTGCTCAATCAAAAGAAAGGCTCAACTCAGTGAGATGAATGCACAAATAACAAAGAAGTTTGTCAGTATTCTTCTGTCTAGTTTTTATGTGAACATATTTCCTCTTCCACCATAGGCCTCAAAGCGCTCCAAATGTCCACTTGCAGATTCTGCAAAAAGAGAGTTCCAAAACTGCTCAATCAAAAGAATGGTTTATATCTGTGAGATGACTGCACACATCACAAAAACTATTACAGTGTGCTTCTTTCTAGATTTTATGTAAAGATATTTCCTTTTCTACCATAGGCCACAAAGCGCTCCAAATGTCCACTTGCAGATTCTACAATAAGAGCATTGCCTAACTACTCAATCAAAAGAAATGTTAAAATCTGAGAGATTAACGCACAAGTCACAAGTAAGTTTCTCACAATTCTTCTGTCTAGTTTTTATGTGAAGATATTTCGTTTTCCAGCATAGGCCTCAAAGCACTCCAAATGTCCACTTGCAGATTCTACAAAAAGAGAGTTTCAAAACTGCTCAGTCAAAATAAGGCTTTAACTCTGTGAGATGAATGCACACAACACAAAGAGGTTTCTCTTATGGCTTCTGTCTAGATTTTATGTAAAGATACTTAGTTTTCTAAAGTAGGTGGCAAAGCGATCCAAATGTCCACTTGCAGATTCTACAAAAAGAGCGTTTCAAAACTGCTCAATCAGAGGAAAGTTTTAACTGTGTGAGATGAATGCACACATCACAACGAAGTTTCTCAGATTGCTACTGTGTAGATTTTATGTTAAGATATTTCCTTTTCTCACAGAGACCGCAAAGCGCTCCAAATGTCCACTTGCAGGTTCTACAAAACGAGAGTTTCAAAACTGCTCAATTCAAAGAAAGGTTCAACTCTGTGAGATGAATGCACACATCACAAAGAAGTTTCTCAGAATTTTTCTGTCTAGTTTTTATGTGAAGATATTCCCTTCTAAAATAGGTCCAAAAGCGCTCCAAATGTCTGCTTGCAGGTTCTACATAAAGAGTGTTTCCAAACTGCTCCATCGAAAGAAATGTTCAACTCTGTGAGATTAACGCACGCATCACAAAGAAGTTTCTCAAAATTCTTCTGACTAGTTTTTATGTGAAGATTTTTGCTTTTCCTCCACAGGCCTCAAAGTGCTCCAAATGTCCACTTGCAGATGCTACAAAAAGAGTGTTTCCAAACTGCTTAATCAAAAGAAAGTTTCAACCCTGTGAGATGATCGCACACATCAGAAAGAAGTTTTTCAGATTGCTTCTGTCTAGATTTTATGTGAAGATATTTCCTTTAGTACAACAGGCCCCAAAGTGCTCCAAATGTCCACTTGCAGATTCTAGAAAAAGAGTGTTTCCAAACTGCTGAATCAAAAGAAAGGTTCAACTCTGTGAGATCAACGCACACATCACAAAGAAATGTCTCAGAATTCTTCTGTATCATTTTTATGTGAAGATATTTCCTTTTCCACAATAGGCATCAAAGCGTTCCAAAGGTCCACTTGCAGATTCAACAAAAAGAGGGTTTCCAAACTGCTCAACCAAAGGAAAGTTTCAAGTATGTGAGATGAATGCACACACCACAAAGAAGTTTCTCAGAATTCTTCTGTCTAGTTTTTATGTGAAGGTATTTTCTTTCCACCATAGGCCTCAAAGTGCTCCAAATGTCCACTTGCAGATCCTACAAAAAGGAAGTTTCAAAACTGCTCCATCAAAAGAAAAGTTTAACCCTGTGAGATGAATGCACACATCACAAGGAAGTTTCTGAGATTGCTACTGTGTAGATTTTATGTGAAGATATTTCCTTTTCTAACAGAGGCCGCAAAGAGCTCCAAATGTCCACTTGTAGGTTCTACAAAAAGAGTGTCAAAACTGCTCAATTCAAGGAAAGGTTCAACTCTGTGAGATGAATGCACACATCACAAAAAAGTTTCTCAGAATTCTTCTGTCTAGTTTTTATATGAAGATATTCCTCTTTCTAAAATAGGCCCAAAAGCACTCCAAATGTCTGCTTGCAGATTCTACAAAAAGAGTGTTTCCAAACTGCTCCATCAAAAGAAATGTTCAACTCTGTGAGATTAAACCACGCATCACAAAGAAGTTTCTTAAAATTCTTCTATCCAGTTTTCATGTGAAGATTTTTGCTTTTCCACCACAGGCTCAAAGCGCTCCAAATGTCCACTTGCAGGTTCTACAAAAAGAGTGTTTCCAAACTGCTCAATTCAAAGAAAGGTTCAACTCTGTGTGATGAACGCACATATCACAAAGAAGTTTCTCAGAATTCTTCTGTCTAGTTTTTATGTGAAGCTATTTCCTTTTCCACCATAGTCCTCAAAGCGCTCCAAATGTCCACTTGTAGAATTTACAAAAAGAGAATTTCATAAATGCTTAATCAAAAGAAAGGTTTAACTCTGTGAGATGAATGCACACATCAGAAAGAAGTTTTTCACTTTGCTTTTGTGTAGATGTTAGTTGAAGATATTTCCTTTTCTACCATAGGCCACAAAGCGCTCAAAATGTCCACTTGTAGATTCTACAAAAAAGTGTTTCCAAACTGCTCAATCAAGAGAGTGTCAACTCAGTGTGATGAAAGCATATATCACTAAGAAGTTTCTCAGATTTCTTCTGTCTAGATTTTATGTGAAGAGACTGCCTTTTCTAACATATGCTGCAAAGCGCAAAAATGTGCAATTGCAGATTCTACAAAAAGAGAGTTTAAAAACTGCTCTATCAAAAGATAGGTTCAACACTGAGCTAAATGCAGACATCACAAAGAACTTTCTCAGATTGTTTCTCTCTAGATTTTATGTGAAGATATTTCCTTCTCTAACATAGGCTGCAAAGCGCTCCAAACGTCCACTTGCTGATTCTAAAAAAAGAGTGTTTCCAAACTGCTCAATCAAAACAAAGGTTCAACTCTGTGAGATGGACACACACATCACAAAGAAGTTTCTCAGATTGCTTCTGTCTAAAATTTATGTGAAGATAATTCCTTTTCAACCACAGGATGCAAAACGCTCCAAATGTCCACTTGCAGATTCCACAAATGATTGTTTCCAAACTGCTCAATCAAAAGAAAGGTTCAACTCAGTGAGACGAATGCACACATCATAAAGAAGTTTCTCAGAATTCTTCTGTCTAGTTTTAATGTGAACATATTTCCTCTTCCACCATAGGCCTCAAAGCGCTCCAAATGTACACTTGCAGATTCTTCAAAAAGAGAGTTCCGAAACTGCTGAATGAAAAGACAGGTTTATCTCTGTGCGATGAATGCACACATCACAAAAAACTTTTTCAGATTACTTCTTTCTAGATTTTATGTGAAGATATTTCCTTTTCTACCATAGGCCATAGAGCACTCCAAATGTCCACTTGCAGATTCTACAATAAGAGCATTGCCTAACTGCTCAATCAAAAGAAATCTTCAAATCTGTGAGATTAACGCACACATCACAAATAAGTTTCTCACAATTCTTCTGTCTAGTTTTTATGTGAAGATATTTCTGTTTCCACTATAGGCCTCAGAGCCCTCCAAATGTCTACTTGCAGATTCTACACAAAGAGAGTTTCAAAACTGCTCAATTAAAAGATAGGTTTAACCCTGTGAGATGAATGCACACGTCACAAAGAAGTTTCTCACATGGCTTGTGTCTAGATTTTATGCAAAGATATTCCTTTTCTAACATAGGCCACAAAGTGATCCAAATGTCCACTTGCAGATTCTACAAAAAGAGTGTTTCAAAACTGCTCAATCAAAATAAAAGTTGAACTCTGTGAGATGAGTGCACACATCACAAACAGGTTTCTCAGATTGCTTCTCTCTAGATTTTATGTGAAGGTATTTCCTTTTCTACCACAGGACGCAAAGCACTACAAATGTCCACTTGCAGCTTCTACAAAAAGAGTATTTCCAAACTGCTCAATGAAAAGAAAGGTTCACCTCGGTGAGATGAATGCTCACATCACAAAGAAGTTTCCCAGAATTCTTCTATATGGTATTTATTTGAAGATATTTCCTTCTCCACCATAGGCCTTAAGGCACTCAAAATGTCCTCTTGTAGATTCTTCAAAAAGAGTGTTTCAAAACTGGTCCTTCAAAATAAAGGTTAAACTATGACAGATGAATGCACACATCAAAAATAAGTTTCTCAGAATGCTTCTATCCAGTTTTTATGTGAAGATATTTCCTTTTCCACCATAGGCCTCAAAGCACTCCAAATGTCCACATGCAGATTCTACAAAAAGAGAGTTTAAAAACTGCTCAATCAAAAGAAAGGTTTAACTCTGTAAGATGAATGCTCTCATCACAAAGAAGTTTCTCAGATTGCTTCTGTCTAGATTTTATGTGAAGATATTTCCTTTTCTACCATAGGCCACAAAGCCCTCTAAATGTCCACTTCCACATTCTGCAAAAAGAGTGTTTCCAAATGGCACAATGAAAAGAAAGTTTCAACTCTGTGAGATGAACGCACACAACACAAAGAAGTTTCTGAGAATTCCTCTGTCTAGTTTTTATGTGAAGATATTTCCTTTTCCAACTTATGCCTCAAAGCACTCCAAAGTCCACTTGCAGATTCTACAAAAAAAGAGTTTCAAAACCGCTCAATCAAAAGAAAGTTTTAACCCTGTGAGATGAATGCACACATCACAAAGGAGTTTCCCAGATTGCTTGTTTCTAGATTTTATATGAAGATATTTCCTTTTCTACCATAGGCCACAAAACGCTCCAAATGTCCACGTGCAGATTCTAAATAAAGAGTGTTTTTAAACTGCTCAATCAAAAGAAAGGTTCATTTCTGTGTTATGAATGCACGCATCACAAAGATGTTTCTCAGAATTTTTCTATCTAGTTTTATGTGAAGATATTTCCTTTTTTCACCATAGGCCTTAAAGCACTCCAAATGTCCACTTGCAGATTCTGCAAAAACAGAGTTTCAAAACTGCTCAAGAAAAAGAAATGTTTAACTCTGTGAGATGAATGCACACATCACAAAGAAGTTTCTCAGATTGCTTCTGTCTAGATTTTATGTGAAGATTCTTCCTTTCCTAACAAAGCCACAAAGCGATCCAAATGTTCTCTTGTAGATTCTACAATAAGAGATTTTCAAAACTGTTCAATCAAAGGAAAGGTTTAACTCTGTGAGATGAATGCTCACATCACGAAAAGTTTCTCAGAATTATTCTGTCTAGTTTTCACGTGAAGATATTTCTTTTTCTACCATAGGCCTCAAAGTGCTCCAAATGTCCACTTGTAGATTCTACAAAAAGAGAGTTTCAAAACTACACAATCAAAAGAAAGTGTTAACTCTGTGAGATGAATGCACACATCACAACAAAGTTTCTCAGATTGCTTCTGTCTAGATTTTATGTGAAGATATTTCTTTTTCTACCATAGGCCACCAAACGCTGCAAATGTCCACTTGCAGAATCTATAAAAAGAGTGCTTCCAAACTGCTCAATCAAAATAAAGGTTCAACTCTGTGAGATGAATGCATACATCACAAAGAAGTTTCTCAGAATTCTTCTGTGTAGTTTTTATGTGACGATATATCCTTTTCCACCATAGATCTGAAAGCGCTCCAAATGTCCACTTGCAGATTCTACAAAAAGAGAGTTTCTAAACTGTTCAATCGAAAGAAAGATTTAGCTCTGTGAGATGAATGCATACATTGCAAATAAGTTTCTAAGGTTGCTTCTGTTTAGACTTTAGGTGAAGATATTTCCTTTTCTCCTCATGCCACAAAGCGCTACAAATATCCACTTGCAGATTCTACAAAAACAGTGTTTCCAAACTGCTCAATCAAAAGTAAGTTTCAGCTCTGTGAGATGAACACAAATTTCACAAAGTAATTTCCTTTTCCACTGTAGGCCTCATAGCATTCCAAATGTCCGTTGCGGATTCCACAAAAAGAGATTTTCAAAACTGCTCAATCAAAAGAAAGGTTTAACTCTGTGAGATGAAAGCACACATCACAAATAAGTTTCTCAAATTGCTTCTGTCTAGGTTTTATGTGAAGATATTTCCGTTTCTACCATAGGCTGCAAAGCGCTCCATATGTCCACTTGCAGATTCTACAAAGGAGTGTTTCCAAACTGCTCAGTCAAAGGAAACGTTCAACTCTGTGAGATGAACACACCCATCACAAAGATGTTTCTCAGAATTCCTCTGCCTAGTTTTTATGTGAAGATATTTCCTTTTCCACCATAGGATCCAAAGAGATCCAAATGTCCACTTGAAGAGTATACAATAAGAGAGTTTCAAAACTGCTCAATCAAAAGAATGGTATAACTCTATGAGATGAATTCACATCTCACAAAGAAGTTTCGCAGATTGCTTCTGTCTAGGTTTTATGTGAAGATATTTCCTTTTCTACCATAGGTCACAAAGCGCTCCAAATGTCCACTTGTAAATTCTACAAAATCAGTGTTTCCAAACTGCTCAACCAAAAGAAAGGTTCAACTCTGTGCGATGAATGCATGCATCACAAAGAAGTTTCTCAGAATGCTTCTGTCTAGTTTTTATGTGAAGATATTTCCTTTTCCACCATAGGCCTCATAGCACTCCAAATGTCCACTTGCAGATTATACAAAAAGAGAGTTTCAAAACTGCTCAATCAAAAGAAAGGTTTATCTCTTTGAGATGAATGCACACATCACAAAGAAGTTTCTCAGATTGCTTTTGTGTAGATTTTAGTTGAAGATATTTCATTTTCTAACAAAGGCCGCAAAGCACTCCAAATTGTCCACTTGTGGATTCTACAAAAAGAGTGTTTCCAAAGTGCTCAATCAAAAGAAATGTTCAACTTTGTGAGATGAACTCACACATCATAAAGAAATTTCTCAGAATGCTTCCGTCTAGATTGTATGTGAAGATATTTCCTTTTCTAACATAGGCCCAAAAGCGCCCCAAATGTCCATTTGCCGATGGTATAAAAAGAGTGTTTCCAAACTGCTCAATCAAAGGAAAGTTCAACTCTGTGAGATGAACGCACACATCACAAAGAAGTGTCTCAGAATTCTTCTTTCTAGTTTTTATGTGAAGTTATTTCCTTTTCCACCAAAGGCCTCAAAGCGCTCCAAATGTCCACTTGCAGATTCTACAAAAAGAGAGTTTCAAAACTGCTCAATCAAAAGAAAGGTTTATCTCTGTGAGATGAAAATGCACATCAAAGAGAAGATTCTCAGATTGCCTCTGTTTAGGTTTTTTATGAAGATATTTCCTTTTCTACCATAGGCTGCAAAGCGCTCCAAATGTCCACTTGCAGATTCTACAAATGATTTTTTTCCAAACTGCCGAATCAAAAGAAACGTTCAACTCTGTGAGATGAACACACACATCACAAAGAAGTTTGTCAAAATTCTTCTGTAAAGTTTTTATGTGAAGATATTTCCTTTTCCACTATAGACCCCAAAGCACCCCAAATCTCCACTTGCAGTTTCTGCAAAAAGAGTGTTTCAAAACTACTAAATCAAAAGAAAAGTTTAACTCTCTGAGATGAAAGCACACATCACAAATAAGTTTCTCAGATTTCTTCTCTCTAGATTTTATGTGAAGATATTTCCTTTTCTACCATAAGATGCAAAGCGTTCCAATTGTCCATTGCAGATTCTACAAAAAGAGTGTTTCCAAACTGCTCAATCAAAAGAAAGTTTCAAATCTGTGAGATGAACGCATACATCACAAAGAAGTTTCTCAGAATTCTTCTGTCTATTATTTATGTGAAAATATTAACTTTTCCACCATAGGCCACAAAGTGCTCCAAATGTCCACTTGCAGATTCTACAAAAAGAGGGTTTCAAAACTCCTCAATCAAGAGAAAGTTTTAACTCTGTGAGATGAATGCACACATCACAAAGAAGTATCTCAGATTGCTTCTGTGTAGATTTTATGTGAAGATATTTCCTTTTCTACCACAAGATGCAAAGTGCTACAAATGTACGCTTGCAGATGCTACAAAAAGTGAGTTTCGAAACTGCTCAATCAAATAAAGTTTTAACTCTGTAAAATGAATGTACACATCACAAAGAATTTCCTCATAAATGTCTTCTTTTGAGAAGTGTCTGTTCATGTCCTTCACCCACTTTTTGATAGGGTTCTTTGTTTTTTTCTTGTAAATTTGTTTGAGTTCATTGTAGATTCTGGATATTAGCCCTTTGTCAGATGAGTAGGTTGCGAAAATTTTCTCCCATTTTGTGGGTTGCCTGTTCACTCTGATGGTAGTTTCTTTTGCTGTGCAGAAGCTCTTTAGTTTAATTAGATCCCATTTGTCAATTTTGGCTTTTGTTGCCATTGCTTTTGTTGTTTTAGACATGAAGTCCTTGCCCATGCCTATGTCCTGAATGGTAATGCCTGGGTTTTCTTCTAGGGTTTTTATGGTTTGAGGTCTAACGTTTAAGTCTTTAATCCATTTTGAATTGATTTTTGTATAAGGTATAAGGAAGGGATCCAGTTTCAGCTTTCTTCATATGGCTAGCCAGTTTCCCAGCACCATTTATTAAATAGGGAATCCTTTCCCCATGGCCTGTTTTTCTCAGGTTTGTCATAGATCAGATAGTTGTAGATATACGGCATTACTTCTGAGGGCTCTGTTCTATTCCATTGATGTATATGTCTGTTTTGGTACAAGTACCGTGCTGTTTTGGTTACTGCAGCCTTGTAGTATAGTTTGAAGTCAGGTAGTATGATGCCTCCACCTTTGTTCTTTTGGCTTAGGATTGACTTGGTGATGCGGGCACTTTTTTGGTTCCATATGAACTTTAAAGTAGTTTTTTCCAATTCTGTGAAGAAAATCATTGGTAGCTTGATGGGGATGACATTGAATCTATAAATTACCTTGGGCAGTATGGCCATTTTCACAATATTGATTCTTCCTACCCATGAGCATGGAATGTTCTTCCATTTCCTTGTATCCTTTTTTATTTCCTTGAGCAGTGGTTTGTAGTTCTCCTTGAAGAGGTCCTTCATGTCCCTTGTAAGGTGGATTCCTAGGCATTTTATTCTCTTTGAAGCAATTGTGAATGGGAGTTCACTCATGATTTTGTTCTCTGTTTGTCTGTTATTGGTGTATAAGAATGCTTGTGATTTTTGTACATTGATTTTGTATCCTGAGACATTGCTGAAATTGTTTATCAGCTTAAGGAGATTTTGGCCTGAGACAATGGGGTTTTCTAGATATACAATCATGTCGTCTGCAAACAGGGACAATTAGACTTCCTCTTTTCCTAATTGAATACCCTTTATTTCCTTCTCCTGCCTGATTGCCCTGGCCAGAACTTCCAACACTCTGTTGAATAGGAGTGGTGAGAGAGGGCATCCCTGTCTTATGCCAGTTTTCAAAGGGAATGCTTCCAGTGTTTGCCCATTCAGTGTGATATTGGCTGTGGGTTTGTCATACATAGCTCTTATTATTTTGAGATACATCCCATCAATACCTAATTTATTCAGAGTTTTTAGCATGAAGCGTTGTTGAATTTTGTCAAAGGCCTTTTCTGCATCTATTGAGATAATCATGTGTTTTTTGTCTTTGGTTCTGTTTAAATGCTGGATTAGGTTTATTGATTTGCTTATATTGAACCAGCCTTGCATCCCAGGGATGAAGCCCATTTGATCATGGTGGATCAGCTTTTTGATGTGCTGCTGGATTCGGTTTGCCAGTATTTTATTGAGGATTTTTGCATCAATGTTCATCAAGGATATTGGTCTAAAATTCTCTTTATTTGTTGTGTCTCTGCCCGGCTTTGGTATCAGGATGATGCTGGCCTCATAAAATGAGTTAGGGTGGATTCCTTCTTTTTCTATTGATTGGAATAGTTTCAGAAGGAATGGTACCAGTTCCTCCTTGTACCTCTGGTAGAATTCGGCTGTGATTCCATCTGGTCCTGGGCTATTTTTGGTTGGTAAGCTATTGATTATTGTCACAATTTCAGCTCCTGTTATTGGTCTATTCAGAGATTCAACTTCTTCCTGGTTTAGTCTAGGGAGAGTGTATGTGTCAAGGAATTTATCCATTTCTTCTAGATTTTCTAGTTTATTTGCATAGAGGTGTTTGTATTAATCTCTGATGGTAGTTTGTATTTCTGTTGGATCGGTGGTGATATCCCCTTTATAATTTTTTCTTGCATCTATTTGATTTTTCTCTCTTTTTTTCTTTATAAGTCTTGCTAGTGGTCTATCAATTTTGTTGATCCTTTCAAAGAACCAGCTCCTGGATTCATTAATTTTTTGAAGGGTTTTTTGTGTCTCTATTTCCTTCAGTTCTGCTCTGATTTTAGTTATTTCTTGCCTTCTACTAGCTTTTGAATGTGTTTGCTCTTGCTTTTCTAGTTCTTTTAATTGTGATGTTGGGGTGTCAATTTTGGATCTTTCCTGCTTTCTCTTGTGGGCATTTAGTACTATAAATTTCCCTCACACACTGCTTTGAATGTGTCCCAGAGATTCTGGTATATTGTTTCTTTGTTCTCATTGTTTCAAAGAACATCTTTATTTCTGCCTTCATTTTGTTATGTATCCAGTAGTCATTCAGGAGCAGGTTGTTCAGTTTCCATGTATTTGAGTGGTTTTGAGTGAGTTTCTTAATCCTGAGTTCTAGTTTGATTGTACTGTGGTCTGAGAGACAGTTTGTTATAATTTCTGTTCTTTTACATTTGCTGTGGAGAGCTTTACTTCCAACTATGTGGTCAATTTTGGAATAGGTGTGGTGTGGTCCTGAAAAAAATGTATATTCTGTTGATTTGGGGTGGAGAGTTCTATAGATGTCTATTCGGTCTGCTTGGTGCAGAGCTAAGTTCAATTCCTGGATATCCTAAAAACACATGAAAAAATGCTCATCATCACTGGCCATCAGAGAAATGCAAATCAAAACCACAATGAGACACCATCTCACACCAGTTAGAATGACAATCATTAAAAAGTCAGGAAACAACAGGTGCTGGAGAAGATGTGGAGAAATAGGAACACTTTTACACTGTTGGTGGGACTGTAAACGAATTCAACCATTGTGAAAGTCAGTGTGGCGATTCCTCAGGAATCTAGAACTAGAAATCTCATTTGACCCAGCCATCCCATTACTGGGTATATACCCAAAGGACTATAAATCATGCTGCTATAAAGACACATGCACACGTATGTTTATTGCGGCACTATTCACAATAGCAAAGACTTGGAACCAACCCAAATGTCCAACAATGATAGACTGGATTAAGAAAATGTGGCACATATACACCATGGAATACTATGCAGCCATAAAAAATGATGAGTTCATGTCCTTTGTTGGGACATGGATGAAACTGGAAATCATCATTCTCAGTAAACTATCGCAAAAACAAAAAAACAAACAAAGCATGTTCTCACTCATAAGTGGGAATTGAACAATGAGAACACATGGACACAGGAAGGGGAACATCACACTCTGGGGACTGTTGCGGGTTGCGAGGAGGCGAGAGGGATAGCATTGGGAAATATACCTAATGCTAGATGACAAGTTAGTGTGTGTAGCTCACCAGCATGGCACTTGTATACATATGTAAGTAACCTGCAGTTTGTGCACATGTAACCTAAAACTTAAAGTATAATAATAATAATAAAAAAACAAGTTTATCAGATTGCTTCTGTCTAGATTTTATGTGACGATATATCCTTTTCTACCATAGCTGCAAAGCCCTCCAAATGTCCACTTGCTGATTCTACAAAAAGAGATTCCAAACTGCTCAATCAAAAGAAAGGTTCAACTCTGTGACATGAACACACACATCACAGAGAAGTTTCTCAGAATTCTTTTGTCTAGTTGTTATGTGAAGATAATTCCTTTTCCACCATAGGCCTCAAATCGCTCCAAATGTCCCCTAGCAGATCCTACAAAAAGGGTGTTTAAAAGCTGCTGAATCAAAAGAAAGTTTTAACTCTGTGAGATGAAAACGCACGTCACAAAGTTTGTCCGAATGCTTCTGTATAGTTTTTATATGAAGATATTTCCTTTTCCAATAAAGGCCTTAAAGCACCCCAAATGTACACTTGCAGATTCTACAAAAAGAGTGTTTCAAAACTGCTCAATGAAAAGTAAGGTTCAACTCTCTGATGAATGCACACATCACAAAGAATTTTGTCAGAATCCTTCTGTCTAGTTTTTATGTGAAGGTATTTCCTTTTCCACCATAAGCCTCAAAGCGCTCAAAATATCCACTTGCAGATTCTACAAAAAGAGTGATTCAAAGCTGCTCAATCGAAAGAAAGGTTAAACTCTGTGAGATGATTGCACACATCACAAATAAGATTGTCAGAATGCTTCTGTCTAGTTTTTTTGTGAAGATATTTCCTTTTACACTATAGGCCTCAAAGCCCTCCAAATGTCCACTTGCAGATTCTACAAAAACAGTGTTTCAAAACTCCACAATGAAAAGTAAGGGTCAACTCTGTGAGATGAATGCACACATCACAGACAAGTTTGTCAGAATGCTTCTATCTAGTTTTTATGTGATGATATATCCTTTTCCACCATAGGATACAAAGCGCTCCAAATGTCCACTTGCAGATTCAAAAAAAAGAGTGTTTCAAAGCTGCCGAATCAAAAGAAATGTTCAACTCGGTGAGATGAATGCACAGATCACAAAGAAGTTTATCAGAATGCTTCTGCCTGGTTTTTATGTGAAGATATTTCCATTTCCACCATAGGCCTCAAAGGGCCCCAAATGTCCACTTCCAGATTCTACAAAAAAAGTGTTTCAAATCTGCTCAATCAAAAGTAAGGGTCACCTCTCTGAGACGAATAAAGAAATCACAAAGAAGTTTGTCAGAATTCTTGTGTCTAGTTTTTATGTGAAGATATTCCTTTGTTCACCATAAGCTTCAAAGCGCTTCAAAAGTCCACTCGCAGATTCTACAAAAAAGGTGCTTAAAGCTGCTCAATCAAAGGAAAGTTTCAACTCTGTGAGATGAATGCACACGTCACAAAGAAGTTTGTCAGAATGCTTCTTTCTAGTTTTTATGTGAAGATATTTCCTTTTCCACCATAGGCTTCAAAGCGCTCCAAATGTCCACTTGTAGATTCTACAAAAACATTGTTTAAAAACTGCACAATCAAAAGAAAGGTTCAACTCTGTGAGATGAATGCACACATCTCAAAGAAGTGTGTCAGAATGCTTCTCTCTAGTTATTACATAAAGATACTTCTTTTTCCACCAGACACCAAAAAGCACTCCAAATGTCCACTTGCAGATTCTACAAAAAGAGTGTTTCAAAGCTGCTCAATCAAAAGAAAGTTCAACTCTGTGAGATGAATGCACACATCAAAAAGAAGTTTGTCAGAATGCTTCTGTCTGGTTTTTATGGGAAGATATTACCATTTCCACCATGGGCCTCAAAGCGCTCCAAATGTCCACATCCAGATTCTACAAAAAGAGAGTATGAAAGCTGGTCAATCAAAAGAAAGTTTCAACTCTGTGAGATGAATGCACACATCACAAAGAAGTTTGTCACAATGCTTCTGTCTAGTTTTTATGTGAAGATTTTTCCTTTTCCACCATTGGTCTCACAGCGCTCTAAATGTCCACTTGCAAATTCTACAATAACAGTGTTTCAAAACTGCTCAATGAAAAGTAAGGTTCAACTTTGTGAGATGAATGCACACATGATGAAGAAATTTGTCAAGATGCTTCTGTCTAGTTCTCATGTGAAGATATTTCCTTTTCCACCATAGGCCTCAAATCACTCCAAATGTCCACTTGCAAATAGTACAAAAAGCGTCTTTCAAAACTCCTCAATCAAAAGTAAGATTCAATTCTGTGAGATGAATGCACACATCACAAAGATGTTTGGTAGAATGCTTCTGTCTAGTTTTTATCTGAAGATATTTCCTTTTCCACCATAGGCCTCAAAGTGTTCCAAATGACCACTTGCAGATCCTACAAAAAGCGTGTTTCAAAGCTGCTCAATCTAAAGAAAGGTTCAACTCTGTGAGATGAATGCACACATCACAAAGAAATTTCTCACCATGCTTCTGTCTAGTTGTTAAAGGAAGATATTTCGTTATCGACCATAGGAATCAAGGCGCTCCAAATGTCTGCTTGCAGATTCTACAAAAAGAGTGTTTCAAAACTGCTCAATCAAAAGAAAGGTCCAACTCTGTGAGATGAATGCACACATCACAAAATTTTTTCATAATGCTTCTTTCTAGTTTTTATGTGAAGATATTTCATTTTCCACCATAGGCCTCAAAGTGCTCCAAATGTCTATGTGCAGATTCTACAAAAAGAGTGTTTCAAATTGGTCATTCAAAACTAATTTTCAACTCCATAAGATGAATGCACCCATTATGACGAAATTTGGCGAATCTTTCTCCATAGTTTTTATGTGAAGATATTTCCTTTTCCGCCATAGGCCTCAAAGCACTCCAAAAGTTCACTTGCAGATTCTACAAAAAGAGTGTTTTTAAGCTGCTCAAACAAAAGAAAAGTTCAACTCTGTGAGATGAATGCACACATCACAAAGAAATTTCTCATTATGCTTATGTCTAGTTTTTATGTGAAGATATTGCCTTTTCCATCATAGTCCTCAAAGTGCTCCAAATGTCCAGTTGCAGATTTTACAAAAAGAGTGTTTCAAAACTGTTCAATCAAAAGAAAATTTCAACTCTGTGACATGAATGCACACATCACAAAGAAATCGCTCAGAATGCTTCTGTCTAATTTTTAATTGAAGATATTTCTTTTTCCACCATAGGCCTCAAAGCACTCAAATGTCCACTTGCCAATTCTACAAAAAGAGGGTTTCCAAACTACTCAATCAAAGGAAAGGTTCAACTCTGTGAGATAAATGCACACATCACAAAGGAATTTGTAAGAATGTTTCTGTCTAGTTTTTATGCAAAGATATTTCCTTCTCCACCATAGGCCTCAAAGCACTCCAAATATCCACTTCCAGATAGTACAAAAAGCGTGTTTCAAAACTGCTCAATCAAAAGCAATATTCAACTCTATGAGATGAATGCACACATCACAAAGTATTTTCTCAGAATGATTCAGTCTAGTTTTTATGTGAAGATATTCCCTTTTCCACCATAGTTTGCAAAGTGCAGCAAATGTCCACTTGCAGATTCTACAAAAAGAGTGTTTCAAAGCTGCTCAATCAAAAGAAATATTCAGCTCTGTGAGAGGAATGCACACATCACAAAGAAGTTTCTCAGAATGCTTCTGTCTAGTTAATATGTGAAGATATTTCGTTTTGCATCATAGGCCTCAAAGCACTCCAAATGACCAATTGCAGATTCTACAAAATGAGTGTTTCAAAACTGCTCAATTGAAAGTAAGGTTCAACCATTTGAGATGAATGCAGACATCACAAAGAAGTTTGTCAGGTTGCTTCTGTCTAGTTTTTATGTGAGATGATTCCTTTTCCAACATAGGCTGCAAAGCGCTCCAAATGTCCAATTGCAGATTCTACAAAAAGAGTTTTTCCAAACTGCTCATTCATAAGAAAGGTTCAACTCTCTGAGATGAATGCACACATCACAAAGAAGTACCTCAGAAAGCTTCTGTCTAGTTTTAATGTGAAGATATTTCCTTTTCCAACATAGGCCTCTAAGTGGCCAAACGTCCACGTGGAAATTCTACAAAGAGTGTTTCACAACTACTCAATCAAAAGAAAGATTAAACTCTGTGAGATAAATTATCACATCAGTAAGAATTTTCTAAGAATGATCCTGTATAGATTTTATGTGACTTTTTTACCTTTTCGACAATAGGCCTCAAAGCACTCCAAGTGTACACTTGCAGATTCTACAAAAAGGGTTTTTCAAAACTGCTCAATGCAAAGGAAGTTTCAACTCCATGAGATGAATGCATGCATCACAAAGGAGTTTGTCAGAATGTTTCAGAATAGTTTTTATGTGAAGATATTTCCTTTTCCACCATAGGTCACAAAGCCCTCCAAATGTCCATTTGCAGATTCTACAAAGAGAGTGTTTCAAAACTGCTCAATCAAAAGAATGGTTCAACTCTGTGAGATGAATGCACACATCACAAAGAAGTTTGTCAGAATGTTTCTGTCTAGTTCTTAAGTGAAGATACTTCCTTTTCAACCATAGGCCTCATAGTGCTCCAAATATCCAGTTGCAGATTCTACAGAGAGTTACCAAATTACTCAATCGAAAGAAATGTTCTACTCTGTGAGATGAGTGCACACATCTCAAAGAAATTTGTCAGAATGCTTCTGTCTAGTTTTTATGTGAAGATATTTCCTTATCAACCATAGGCCTCAAAGCACTCCAAAAGTCCACTTGTAGATAGCACAAAAATTGTGTTTCAGAACTGGACAGAAACATTCTGACAAACTTCTTTGTGATGTGTGCCTTCATCTCACGGAGTTGAACATTTCTGTTGATTGAGCACTTTTAAAACACTCTTTTTGTAGATTCTACAAGTGTACAATTGGAGTGCTTTGAGGACTACGGTGGAAAAGGAAATATCTTCACATAAAAATTAGACAGAAGCATTCTGACAAACTGCCTTATGATGTGTGCATTCATCTCACAGAGTTGAACATTTCTTTTGATTGAACAGTTTTGAAACACTCTTGTTGTACAATCTGCAAGTGGACATTTGGAGCACTTTGAGACCTATGGTGGAGAAGGAAATATCTTCACATAAAAACGAGAAAAAAGAATTCTGAGAAACTCCTGTGCTGAGTGTGTTCATCTCACAGAGTTGAGCCTTTCTTTTTATTGAGCAGTTTGGAAACACTCTTTTTGTAGAACCTGCAAGTGGACATTTGGAACAATTTCAGGCATATGGTGAAAAAGGAAATATATTCACATAAAAACTAGACAGAAGGGTTCTGACAAACTTCTTTGTGATATGTGCATTCATCTCACCGAGGTGAACCTTTGTTTTGATTGAGCAGCTTTGAAACACTTTTTTTGTAGTATATGCAAGTGGACATTTGGAGCGCTTTGAGGCCTATAGTGGATAACCAAATATATTCATATAATAACTAGACAGAAGCATTTTGAGAAACTTCTTTGTGATGTGTGCATTCATCTCACACTGATTTGAACCTTTCTTTTGATTGATCATCTTTGAAACACTCTTTTTGTAGAATCAGCAAGTGGACATTTGGAGTGCTTTGAGGCCTATGGTGGAAAAGGAAATATCTTCACATAAAAACCAGACAGAAGCATTCTGACAAACTTCTTTGTGATGTGTGCATTCATCTCACAGAGTTGAACCTTACTTTTCATTGAGCAATTTTGAAACACTCTTTTTGTAGAATCTGCAAGTGAGCAATTGGAGGACTTTGAGTCCTATTGAGGAAAAGGAAATGTCTTCACATAAAAACTAGACAGAAGCCTGCTGAGAAACTTCTTTGTGATGTGTGCATTCGTCTCACAGGGTTAAACCTTGCTTTTCATTGAGAAGCTTTGAAACACTCTTTTTGTAGAATCCACAAGTGGACATTTGGAGCACTATGAGGCCTATGGTGAAAAAGGAAATATCTTCACATAAAAACTAGACAGACCATTCTGACAAACTTCTTTGTGTTGTGTGTATTCATCTCACAGAGTTGAACCTTACTTTTCATTGAGCAGTTTTGAAACACTCTTTTTGTAGTGTCTGCAAATGGACATTTGGAGCGATTTGAGGCCTATGGTGGAAAAGTAAATATCTTCAGGTTAAAAGTAGACAGATGCATTCTGAGAAACTTCTTTGTGATGTGTGCATTCATCTCACAGAGTTGAACTTTTCTTTTGATTGAACAACTTTGAAACACTCTTTTTGTAGAATCTGCAAGTGGACATTTGGAGAGCTTTGAGGCCTATGGTGGAAAAGGAAAAATCTTCACATAAAAACTAGACAGAAGCATTCTGACAAACTTCTTTGTGATGTGTGCACTCATCTCACAGAGTTGAACCTTATTTTTCATTGAGCAGTTTTGAAATACTCTCTTTGTAGAATCTGCAAGTGGACATTTTGAGCGCTTTGAGGCCTATGGTGGAAAAAGAATTTTCTTCACATAAAAACTAGACAGAAGCATTCTGACAACCTTCTTTGTGATATGTGCATTCATCTCACTGAGTTGAATCTTACTTTTGATTTAGCAGTTTTGAAACACCCTTTTTGAAATATCTACAAGTGGACATTTGGTGTGCTTTGAGACATATGGTGGAAAAGGAAATATCTTCACATAAGAACTAGACAGAAGTATTCTGAGAAATTTCTTTGTGATGTGTGCATTCATCTCACAGAGTTGAACCTTTCTTTTGATTGAGCAGTTTGGAAACACTCTCTTTGTAGAATCTGCAAGTGGACATTTGCTGCACTTTGAGGCCTATGGTGGTTAACAAAATATCTTCATATAATAACTAGATGGAAGCATTATGAAAAACTTCTTTGTGATGTGTGTTTTCATCTTACAGAGTGGAACCTTTCTTTTGATTGAGCAGCTCTGAAACACTCTTATTGTAACATCTGCAATTGGACATTTGGAGTGCTTTGAGGCCTTTCGTGGAAAAGGAAATATCTGCACATAAAAACCAGAAAGAAGCTTTCTGACAAACTCCTTTGTGATGTGTGAATTCATCCCACAGAATTCAACCTTACTTTTGATTGAGCAGTTTTGAAACACCCTTTTTGTAGTATCTACAAGTGGACATTTGGAGTGCTTTGAGGCCTATGGTGGAAAAGGAAATATCTTCACATAAGAACTAGGCAGAAGGATTCTGAGAAATTCCTTTGTGATGTGTGCATTCATCTCAAAGAGTTGAACCTTACTTTCAATTAAGCAGTTTTGAAACACTCTTTTTTGTAGAATCTGCAAGCGGATATTTGCTGCACTTTGAGGCCTATGGTGGTTAATGAAATATCTTCATATAATAACTAGACAGAAGCATTATGACAAACTTCTTTATGATGTGTGCATTCGTCTCACAGAGTGGAACCTTTCTTTTGATTGAGCAGCTCTCAAACACTCTTTTTGTAGCATCTGCAAGTGGACATTTGGATTGCTTTGAGGCCTATGGTGGAAAAGGAAATATCTTCACATAAAAACAAGATAGAAGCATTCTGAGAAACTTCTTTGTGATGTGTGCATTCAGCTCAAAGAGTCGAACCTTTCTTTTGATGGACCAGTTTTGAAATACTGTTTTTGTAGGATCTGCAAGTGGACCTTTTGAGCGACTTGAGGCCTACAGTGGAAAAGGAAATATCTTCACATAGAAACTAGAGAGAAGAATTC